>NC_000012.12:45944976-46096491 GCF_000001405.40 Homo sapiens
GAGCTGGTCAACACCAAGAAATTGTGAAACACTCTTTTCTCCCAACACACGCACACACACACCCCTTTTAAGAGGAGCAAGAAGGAAAAAAGGGGCAGAAAACAGTATAAATTGCTCCATGAAAACAAAATTTATGTAGGATTTAACACAATGTACAGAGTTCTGAGGACTATTTTCCAGCCTGAAGTGTTACTGATGAGAACTCTGACACAACCATTAAATTAAAAAACAACAAAAAAAAAGGTAGAATCCACAAGCAAAAAGTAACTTACTATGTATCCACTTCAAGTCACAAACTTTTGCACTTAATAGATCTTCTCTTACGATGGCTTTTCTTCTGTAAACATCAATAAAGACAGGAAAGAATTAAGAAAAAAACTGTCATTTTGCTCACTTATTTTCAACTCATTCTCCTCCATCAAAATGAAATCTATCATGCACTGATTTTGGTAACTATGCTGAAATCTGGTAAATGGTTTAAGGATATTCTCACAGACTCCTATGAGATATTAGAATGTCAAGTTAGGTTTTAATATCTATTGAGTTGTATTATCTCAGTCTTTTTTTTTTTTTTTTTTTTGAGACAAGATTTTGCTGACACCCAGGCTGGACTGTTGTGGTGCAATCACGGCTTACTGCAGTCTTGACCTCCTGGGCAGAAGCAATCCTCCCAGCTCAGCCTCCTGAGTAGCTTGGACTACAGGCATGCACCACCTTGTCAGGTTAATTTTTTCTATTTTTGCAGAGAGTTTCCCTTTGCTCATGAGGCTGTTCTTGAACTCCTGGGCTCAAGTGATCCTCCCGCCTTGGCCTCCCTAAGTGCTGGAATTACAGGTGTAAGCTACCATGCCTGGCTAATATATTTTTTATTCTTATTCTTATTATTATTTTTTTTACTAGACACGAGGTCTCACTATGTTGCCCAGGCTGGTCTCAAACCCCGGATCTCAAGCGATTCTCCCCCTCAGCCTCCCAAAGTGCTGGGATTACAGGCATGAGCCACCACGTCTGGCTTCATCTCAGTCTTTAAACAACAATCTTACTGGCTGATCATGACTGACTGGCTATTGAGCCACGCAGACTAGAGGTAAGCAGATATTGTCTTTTTTAAAAGGACCATTAGGAAATTCTAGCAAAGAAAGCATGATTAGTTTCACTCCTCACTCAGTTACCATTCTCTACAATGACTTAAAATGGAGGTTCACTACCAAGAAACAAAATACCACTGCAATGCCTTCTTTGGAACTGGTAAAAAGTATCAGAAACAGAGAGGTCCCAGGGTTTTATTGCTTTGGAAGGGAGAGGCAAAATTGAATGAAGTTTGTCTGTGTGTTGGAAGACCAAGTATCCAGTAAATAGAAGACTGAATGACAGGACTACTAAAAACATCCAAGACTCCAAAAAAGAGTATAATGTAAATATCCAACAGCTGACAGAGATTTTCCACCTTGGGAAAAATAGTTAAGCTATGCCTTGGTGGGCAAAGGCAAATTATTAATTTTGCAGCTGTTATTTCCTTATGACAAATCTCAGAAAAAGCAGTTAAATATGGGGACGACTTTTGCTATGTTAGACTCAAATAAGAGCTGTGAGCCTTATAGGTAATTCTGTGATGACCACTACACCCTTGGCAAGAGCCAAGAGAATTGGGTAATTTTGAGGGAGAAAAAAAAAAATGCATATCTATGATACTGTCACAGCCAGTGATATGAGTTGTATCAAGAATTAAAAGTATTTCTACCAAAAGGTTATTTCTTCACTATGCCTGGGAAAAGTGTACTATTATCTACTATGTAAATACAAATGCAAGAACCAAAGCTGATAAGTATTTTTCAGAAATAATTATAAAATTTGGTCTAATGCAGTTACTAACTTTGGGGCTCATGGGTAGGCTCTTGGAGGGGGTATTCCATGAATACCTTGAAATCATATACAAAGTTTTATGTCTGTAAACGTGTATTTTTCTAGCAGAAGGGATCTGAATCATTCTTCACATTCTTAAAGAATGCCATAACTACCCAAAAGTTAACATCTAAGGAGCTTACAGTGTTATAAATTAGTAATAGGTTGAATTAATCTCAGTGACTACTGCCAACTGTTTTAGGAACTAAATAAACTTACTCTTTTAAGAAATTAGTATTCTGATGAAAAGTACTAATGAATCATAGATTTAATTATGAATCTGACAACATATTGACTTAAAAATTCAACTCTTGGACAGCTCTAAATACATTTCAGATCAAAATGAGCTTAAGTTTCAAATGTATTAGAACAAGTTATTTAAGCATTAATTTCCAGTGTACTACTCATATTCAATTTACCTCAAAAATGTGTTAAACACCTACTAAACTCAAGTATTAAACACCGCATTTCTAGGCATTTATGTTAAAATAGGCAATGGTTTTAACAGCAACTAAAAAAAAGAAACCTGTATATTTAAAAAAATGTTTTAACATAAACACTTGTTATAGTAGACAGCAAGTGCCTGCTGCAACACAGGAAAGCAGTACGTGAAGGTTAATAAACAGTTTAAATTATAACTGATGAAGAATGTTGTGCTATACTATTAGGTATTCCGTACTTTTTGTCCATAAGTAACTTGATCAGTGCTATTTACAGTGTGGTATGAGCACCAATGCTTATCTATTAGGTGTTTAATATTGGTATGTGATTAAGTACAAAAATGAGGGTAAGCATTCAGAATTTTGGTTTGTTTTTGAGACAGAGTCTTGCTCTGTTGCTCAGGCTGGAATGCACTGGTGTGATCATAGCTCACTGCAGCCTCAGATTCCTGGGTTCAAGATATCTCCCTGCCTCAACTTCCTAAGTAGCTGGAACTGCAGCCATGTGTCACCATGCCCGGCTAATCTGTAAATTTTTAGTAGAGACAGGGTCTCATTATGTTGCCTAGGCTGGTCTTGAACTCCTGAGCTCAAGTGATCCTCCCACCTCAGTCTCCCAAAGTGCTAGCCTTAAAGGTGTGAGCCACCACACCTGGCCAGCATTCAGAAATTTTACATTGCTGAACATTTTATTTTACAAAAGGTTTGGTCTAAAACAGATTCAGAAATAAACTGAAAAGAACGAATTCTTTTAATTCTTTTTATTTTGTGTTATTTTTTAGTAGAGACAGAGGAGGGGAGGACGGTCCTCACTATGTTCCCCAGGCTGGTACCAAACTCCTGGTCTCATGTGATCCTCTCACCTTAGCCTCCCAAAGCACTGGGATTATAGGAGTGAGCCACCATGCCCAGCCAGAACCAATTCTTCACCAAAAACAGAGTAGAGCTCAAATCAGATTCTCAGATTTCAGCTAGTCCCTCCTTAAATTATCAAGTGTGTGCTTTTGAATAAGTGATTAAATACATTTAAACCCCACTTCATTTTTTTAATACCTTTTTTGTACTAGTTAACTTCTGTTCCACTCATTTGCATTCCACTTCTAAAGTTAATCACTAACCTTATACAGCTTTTAGAATTTTCATGACAGGAGACCTGTTTCTCAAATGAGTTTTCATTTTTCTTGTCTTTTGTTTCTCTCAGCTGTTTTTTTACTTGAACCTATGAGAAAAGCAAAATCAATTTAGAGCAACAATCCAGCCTTACAAATAACTTTTTAAATTCTTCCTTGAAATGATTAAAATTACAGAAACAAAACTGTCCAATTAAAAAGTGTAGTCCAAATACATATGCTTATTCATTCAAGCATGCTAAACCATAAGCTTAGTAAGTATGCTTAGGTCTGGGGAAACAAAATAGTGACAGCTAAGCATAAACAGATTAAGTGCTTATAACAGAGATATGAACACAGATTTGTATATACATATAGGACTCAGAAATTAACTGAGGATGTCACAGAAGACTTTAATGAGTAGATGATGTATGAGTTGGTCTTAAAGGATAGTTAGGAATTGGTCTAAGAAAAAAATATTCTAGGTGGAGGAAAGAACAGAGTTGTAAGGAACAGTGAGAAGCCAATGTAGACAGGTAAAAACAGAGTAGCTAGATGTGAAATTGGTGAAATGTGTTAGGACTCGACTGTAAAGGTTCTTGAATAAGAAAATCTACAGGCATCAGAGAGTAAGCGGACTTTTTAAAGCAAGTGAATGCGATGATCAAATTTGTTTTTAGGAAGATAACTTTGGTGTGATATGGGGAATCAACCAGTTAAGGAGAGACTATAAAAACCAGGCTCTTATAGATAAACTAGATCTTAAAAGAAAGCTCTTAAGATAGACTAGATCTATGCTGTCCAAGACAACAGTCACTAGCCACATATGGCCACTCAGTGCTTGGAATGTGGCTCGTCTAAATTGGAATGTGCCGCAAGTATAAAATAGACACAAGATTTCAAAGACTTAGTATAATTTTTTAAAAGAATGTAAAATCTCTCAATAATAATTTTAAAATATTACATGTTGAGCTAATACATTAGATATATTGGATTAAAAATAAAATATATCATTCAATTTATTTCATTTTTTTATTATTTTAGGATGCTTACTTAAAATTTTAGTTATTTAGTGGCTTATAGTATACTTCTATCAGACAGCACTAGTTAGATGAAAGAATAGGGGTCTACAAAGAGGGAACAATGGAGGGATACAGAAGAAACATATTTAAGACATTGAGCAGAAAAAAACAGATGAGGGAGAGAAAACTGGAAAAGTCCCAGATATTTCTGATCTTGGTGACTAGGGCTGTGATTCCATTAACAACTGGGGCTGGGGAAAGGGGTAGGGAATGTGATTAATTTGGAGTTTGTTAATGTCAGATTTTGTTGGTATTCCAGATAGAGATGCACAAGTGGTTGTAAATACAGGTCTGGCTCTCAGTAAAGAAGTCTAGGACAGTGACAGAATTTTAGAAGCATCCAAATATACGTAGTACTTAAAGCTACTGAAGTATAATAGCTGAGAAGACTTAGAAAGAAAGTATACTGAAAGAATTTAAATGAAGATCCTATGAGTCCTAATGATTAAGAAAAGGAACAGGAGGGTAGGGATATGACAAAGAAGATTGTGAAAGGACAGAGAAGTAAAACAATCATTCATACATACATACATACATACATACTTACATACATACCCACAAGAGAAGGATGTTTTAGAAGCCGAAGGAATTAGAGGGTAGTCAGCAGCACTACACGCAGAAAACAAACCATGGAATGTGGAAGTCTGAGCCTGGACCTTGGTGAGGGTAGTGTTTGTAAAATAAGATAATAGAGGTAAATGTTCTATGGGAACTGAAAAGTGAGTAAGAATTGAGAAGAGGTAGTTGTAGAATTCAAGAAGTTCAATTGCAAAGGGAAAAAGATAATGAAGTGAAGATTCGAAAGAAGTAAAGGTCTAGGGAAGGCACTTAAGAGAATGTGGAAGATATCTCATGTGCCAAGAAATACCTTTTAAGTTAAACAAAAATTAAACTAGCACTGTACCAAACTTTTAAGTAAAATACAAACTCTATCAAATAAATTTTATTCTAAGCAAGAAAACATAATTTCACAGAAAAATATATTTGGAATCTACTTTACACTAATGAATCTTTTGCAATGTAATTATACATACAAACAGCGTTTGGAAAAATGGAGAATATGTCTTCAGGAAAAGCCACACTTACTATATTACACTTCTATAATGTTTTATCTTTTTTCTGAGATATAAACTAATTTGCATTGATGGCAAAGTTATACAATTACAACAAGCAAACCGTTTATTTGAATTGCAGTCCTGTTTGTACCTTGCATCAAGATTCATCTGGTAAAAATATATCAAAACAAATTATGAAAACCTACACTGAGAAAGACAAATAATTAAATAGTTGTACATTGCTTCCATCCCCTTTTCTACTTACATAGACAGTAACCAAGTGGACAAAGACTAACAGTGCTACCTAAAAACGGTTTGTTTCTCCTATTAACGGCATCACTTATGTTTATATTGAGTACTCTCATTTTTAGCTATTTTTCATTCATGACTTGGTAGTGATACATCAAGAAATCTTTCTCATATACTTAACTACTACTCTTCTCCTTTTCTCTTTTCTTCTTACTCAACTCAGACATGTTTTTTTGTTTTTTCAGGTAAGCAAAAAATTAACATAAATACAAATCATAATCATGGCTCACAACAGTAAGTAACATTAATGAGGTAAGCAGAATTTAATTTTATTGGCTAATTTCAAAATTATTGTTTTTCAGGAAAACACAGTTTTCAGTTATTTTGGACTTAAGGTTTTGTGGGAGTTGGTCTTTGAATCTAATACTTCATTTCAAACATTTTTTCAATGGAAAACATGTATTCAAAGTGCTAGCCAATTAAATTCTTTGAAATATGGGAAGAAGTCCTCGCATTCAAGATATTCTAAAATGTTAAGTATTTTATAATTAAGCCTTAGTACAAAACGTCCTTCAGATTATCAGAGATCTAATACATTTTGTGGTATACTACAAGGTGATCATTATGGATATGCCCTCTTTAGGGGGCAAATGAATAAAAGGTTCAGAATTTAAGTATATTAGTTGAAAGGTATAAATTTATCATGCTAAGGAGGATTAAAATAACATATTAAACCTTAAGTTGAACAATTTTCAAATATACACAAACTGGAAATCAAAGTCAAACAGCTTCAATTAATTTTTATATAATTCATGTTGCAGAATAAAAAGACTTACCTTAACATAACCTTCCAATGCACTGAATTTAAACACTGCCTGAAAAGGTTTACGGTCAATAGGACATGAAGCCAGTGTCTGAAAAGTGATTAACAAATTATATCTTTACAAATGTTTCTTTAGATCAAAATTATAAATACAATTATAAATTTTCCATAAAATTATTTTTATCTCTATCTTCGAAAGAAAAAAATATTTTTATACCTTAAATTTGTTTCATTCATTCAAACATTTACTGAATACCTCCTGTATGCTAGATAGTTGGAATACAATGATGAACGAGACAGAATCTGTTATTAAAATCCCATTAAGATATGCTGCCCGGTTGAGAACTACTAGTATAGTGAAAGATGAGTTGGGCTGACAGCAGTAGTTCTGTGATGTAAAGCTGGCTGTTACACTAAACTTGGGCCACTCCAAATGGCTCCGAAAGGTTCCTCACAAATTTTAATATTCTATGACTTAATATTTTCCCCCCAAATTAGTTACATTAAATAGGCAGTTGTGCCAGCAATAAAAACATTTGAAAGATATGAAGAAAATGAAGTACTCCTTCACCCCTCCCCTCAGCCACCTAGATGGCCACTCCAGAGGCAGTTTCTTACATAACCTTTTGTGGATATCCATTGCATATGCATATATGTGTATCTTTTTAATATATAAACTTAAGATTGATTCATATTAGTAATTCAGAGCTGCCTTATCCTTAACAGAATAATATGAATAAGAGTTTTTTACTTTACATTTCCTTTTATAGGAGTAAGGTTGAGCACATTTTCCTATTTTTAAGGACTATCCAAAGTTCCTTTTCTTTAAGCTGCCTATTCAAGTTCTTTGCTTAGGTTCTTATTAAGTTGCTACTCTTTTTCAAATTGAGTTATAGGTGCTCTTTATTTATTAAGGAAATTGGTCCTTAAGTGATACTATGATTATAAGTCAACATTATCTTGCTTTATTTCCTGTCCTTTTAAAATTCCTGTGCATCAACTCTAAGAGTTTCTCTGATAAAACTACTAAATATTTGTGTAAGAATGGGTTTACATTATTTAAAGAATTTAAGATGAAATGTATTTTCTATTAGGGTAGGAGGGAAAACTCTGCAAAGAGCGTACCAAAAGGTGATATTATTAATACCTATGGTTACAAAAATAAAACGGAATTTTAACAATCTAATAGCAATAGTCTCAAAGAGCAAAGATAGTAATGGAAACTAGATATATTATTCCTATGTAAAAAATGTGATCTTTGCCTTTCTGGGTTTTACCACGTATCAAGACATGCTTATACAAGTAAAAGTAGAGCAGATTGTGTATGGTCCTTGATCATTTAACACATTTTCACAAAGCTCACAAGTCACTTTGGGAGCAGCCAAAATATGGGCTGAGTTACTATTTTCTTTCTCTTTTAAGTGGGCTTCAATGGGAAAAAAGCTTTACCACATCTGAATTAGGAAATGTGACCTTACTATATTAAATTGGTTCAGACTGGAAGAAGCCAGTTCAGCCTACTTTTAAGTACTATGGATTTAGGAGGCTATTACTTTCCCTATAGAAAACTTGACCTTAAGAAGGTTTGCTTCAGCAACAAAGAAGTTCATATATTTTTTAATAATGCATTGTCTAGTTCGAAGAACTTAACATCATAACCATTGCTGTTTATCCCAGTGGCATACCCTGTATGAAATTTCTTAAGAGATTATATTAATGCTACATTTATGGTTTTCAAAAATATTTAAAAGTTGAAATCTGGCTGAGCATGGTGGTGCATGCCTGTAATGCCAACACTTTGAGAGGCCAAGGCAGGAGGATCCCTTGAGCCTAGGAGTTCGAGGCTGTAGTAAGCCATGATCACACCACTGTACTGCAGCCTAGGCAACAGAGTGAGATCCCATCTCTGAAACATAGATAAATAAAATTAAAAGTGTAATATTTCTAGTGCTTCCTATTTTTACAAAAGCTTCAAAATGTTTTTTATTCCTATTTTAAAGGTAAATTTAGAGAAACATTAAAAAAAGGTTATGTGGTAATAAATGAAAATTTGTTTTTTCGTAAAAACTAAGATGTATAGAGGCCATGAATTTACTGTGCTACTTTCGTATCTTTTTAATAAACTCGAGCAAGTTACAGTCTCTCTGTGCCTCAGTAACCTTATTTGTGAAAATGAGAAAAAATAACTTACCTCTAAGGTTTTTATGGGAATAAATAATTCCTAGAAGAAAGTGTGGCATATACTAAATATTATGTAAGGTCTTGTAATCAACTAGTTTTAGTAACAAAAAAACTTGGTTAATTAACAAAAGACAACCACAATATGATACATATACAAGTGAGAGACATGAGTTCTTAACAATTTTTATTGGAATTTGCAAAGTTTATGACGTAGATGGAAATCCAAGTACTTCATTATTTTAGCTATTTTGATTTGTGACACTAAGATCCAAAGAAAGTCACGTGTTCAAGAAATTTGTATCAGATGCATCAAATCTTTCAAAGACTCTCAAATCATACAATCTCATTTTTTCTTTATTAAATTTCCTCTACTGACATCAGCTAAATTGCATTTTTTCCTTTACAATTTTTTCTTTATTTTTTTTATTTTTTGAGACAGGGTCTTGCTCTGTCCCCCAGGCTGGAGTGCAGTGGCACTATCATGGGTCACTAAGGCCTTTGCCTCCCAGACTGAGATCAGATGATCCTCCCATGTCAGCCTCCTGAGTAGCTGGGACTACAGGTGCATGCCACCATACCCAGCTAATTTTTGTATTTTTCATAGAGATGGGGTTTTACCATGTTGCCCAGGGTGGTCTTGGACTCCTGGGCTTAAGCGATCAACCTGCCTTGGAGGGGTTAATGGCGTGAGCTGCTGTACCCAGCCTTCCTTTACAATTTTGAATTATGACAGTTTTAATCTAAGCTGTTACTTTTTTTTTTTTTTTTTTAACACAGGGTTTCACTCTGTCGCCCACGCTGGAGTGCAGTCACCTGATCACAGCTTACTGCAGGCTTGAACTCCTGGGGCTCAAGCAATTCTTCCACTTTACCCTCCCAAGTAGCTGGGATACATGCATGTATCACCGTGCCTAGCTTTTTTTTTTTTTTTTTTTTTTAACTTTTTTCATAGAGACAGGGTCTCACTATGTTGCTCAGGCTTCATCTTGAACTCCTGTGCTCAAACGATCCTCCTACCTCAGCCTCCCAAAGTGTTGGGATTACAGGAGGAGCCATCACACCTGCTCTGAGCCATTCCATTTGATCCGTTTCAAAAAACAGTTCTGAGTAAGATTCCCCCCCTTTTTTTTCCTTAAGCATAATTGTCTTAGGTTTGCCTAGTTTCATTTTAAGAAAAGGCTCCACTGGTATTACAAAAACACAAAGGAAAAACAAGAAAAAAAAGTAGTAGTAATAGGAAAACTACTGCCATATATCATCACAATCTATATAAAATGTAATTACCTAAAGATAATTTAGTTAACACCAAAAAATAAGTTAATTTTCTTTGACACAGACTCAGCCATCATAATTTTTTTTTTAAACAGGGTCTCACCCTCTTGCCCAGGCTGTAGTGCAGCGGCATCACGGCTCACTGCAACCTCAACCTCCTAGGTTCAAGCGATGGCCTCACCTCAGTTTCCCAAGTAGTTGGGACTACAGGCACGCACCACCATGCCCAGCTAATTTTTTGTAGAGATCGGGTTTTGCCATGTTGCCCAGGCTGGTCTCGAACTCCTGAGCTCAAAGCGATTGGCCCACCCCGGCCTCCCAAAGTGTTGGGATTACAAGCGTGAGCCACCACACCCGGCCCAGACTGGCCTAATTTTAAGGAACTCCCAAGGATGCCTCACTCTTATATCCAGCAGATATCTATCCAGAAAGGTCTCAAAGATGTTTTTAGTTTTCAGAGTAAAATTTACAATTAAATTTCCAAGTTGTGAGGTTTTAAAAGTTCACATTTTAAACTAATGTAAAGAAATTTTAACTAATACTTACTCTATTTTTAAGTTATTTTAATTTTGAAGAAAATTATCTCAAATTTTGTTGCCTTAAATACAATAAAAATATCCTTCAATTATTTACCATTTTGATTCCTTATATACAACAAAATATCCTTCAATGACTCACTTGTTTGAATTACTGACTTTCATTTCAATAATTTTTAAAGTATCTAATTCAGTTTCATAACCAAGTAGTCTAATAACATCATTGGCTTTATGATACAGCTACAAAATTAATGGAATTTGCTCACTGCTTTACAGTGTAATGTGTATTAAACAGAGCATATGTTTTACTGTGAATGCTCTGTACTAAGGTTGTTGTATCAGTTAAGAAGGCAATTTTGATAGAAAAAAATAATCTTCCTAATGATTTCAGTAAAACACACCCTACTATTCTGAAGCATTATAAATTCTCAGCTCAGACAAACCCACATTTAAATGTAAGAACAAGAAACCTTCCTTATTTGGGAATTCAGGATCCTCGATTTCTAATTTCTCGCTTCCTCCTGCTGCTCTATCCTCAATCACATAGGCTGCTTATAGATAGCTCCTCTTAGAGAGAGAGAAACAAGTGTTAAGACAAGTGCTTAAAGACTAAATCTCAATACCTATGTTTATAGGTAGGTTTGCCTGTTTGTGGGAATCTCGAACATCTATCTCTCTACTAACAAAATAGAGCATGTTATACAAAATTCTAGTTCAAAATCAAATAAAGATGACTTAGAAATGCATACCATTAGTGGCTAATGCTTATTTTAAAGCTATTTTCCAGGACCTATCTTTTTTCATTTATGGTTCTAAGACACCTCACCTGTACTTCCAAATTAATTGTTCACCTGCAGTCAGCCTACATGTTCCCTATCACATTTAACCAGTTCTTTCAAGACAGTCTTTGTCAATCCATATTAGTGAAACTGTGGTTCTTTATACCAGCATTCAGGAGTGTATCCCTAAAGGACAAATGGCTGTCAGTGATAAAATTAACCCCCAGTAAGAACACATTTCATCAAACTACTTAAAATCCTTTCATGTTCTCCAAGATACCAGTTGGGGAGAATTACATGTAATCTTAATTTATTCTGACAATAGGCAACACTTTATCTAGTGTAAAAACAAGAAACTCAGTAAACTACCCATACAGATCATTTTACATATTCTGACATTTAAAACTAGGCACAAAGAAATGCATGTTAATTTACCTTACTGGTAAACAGAGTACTTAAATTCTTTTAGATATATGCTTTAGGTGATGGGTGTTCACAATGCAAAAATCCTCTTTGCTCTACTAAAAAATTTCCCAAAGGATTAATTCACAGGGTGAAAATAGTGGTGGATCTGAAAAAATTAGCTACAAGTTAAAGTTCTTGTGGAGCTAGCAATCACTCCAACCCACACTAAGGATGAAGATGGAGAGAGCCCTGATCATCTATTGCATAGGCGTAATAAATTTAAAAAATGTATCTGACAATACTTTATAAATTATAAATGACTAATGTTAGTGGTACTACACAGGTACATTTACATTACCGTTCACAGAGAGCTACATAACAGAGGTGTCTGGGTTAGTTCTGGTTAATTTTTTTAAAATTAGAATTTGAGGAAAAATTGATTGAAAATTCCAGATAATAAAGCTTTACTGAATTATATTACTTAAAAGTAGTCTAACAACCAGAATGGACAAATTTCCACCTACTGCATAAAGAAACACCTGTATATAAAACACATGTGCAGTCCAGATATAAGTCAAGAACTCACATCTTGATTTTTTGGTATTTATTATTAATTCAAAAATATAACCTTCACCTATGTTGAACACTATTGTTTGACTTCTTCAAGAACTGCATGTCACCTTAATAAGACACTTCATTTCTAGTTTAGGAGAGAAACCATGCCTTTGCCAACTGCCGAATTTTGATTTCATTAACCTTTACTCTCTCATACTGAAGCTGTTGGCATTTTATACAAAATGGGTGATTTTGTATAAAATGGAGGGAGAATAATCTGCTTATAATGGGAAACTAATCACATTTTTAAAAATAATACTTAAAAGATAAGGGAAATATTTTATATTATGTAAAAGGGAAAAGAATGCCAGCAGATATCAAGAACATCCTCATCACATATACTGCAGGTTCCATTAAACATTGTTAAGAACTCTTAAATGCTTTAAACATGTGTCTTCAAACCATGACCTTATTTTAAGGGCCAAATTTTTAATCACTTCTCGGCAACTGTGGGAAATAATGATTCCTACTTTCTCTCTTTTTTTTGAGATAGGGTCTTATTTTGTCACCCAGGCTGAAGTGCAGTGGCATAATCACAGATAAATGTAGTCTCGACCTCCCAGGCTCAAGTGATCCTCCAACCTCCCCCCATCAGCTTCCCAAGTAGCTGGGACTACAGGCATACTCCACCATGCCTGGCTAATTTTTTTTTTTTTTCCCAGTAGAGATGAGGTCTCACCATGTTGCCCAGGCTGGTCTTAAACTCCTGGGCTCGAGTGATCCACCCTCCTTGGCCTCCCAAAGTGCTGGGATTAGAGGCGTGAGCCATCATGCCTGGCCAATAAATCCCATTTACTTAACCTGTGTGTGTTTGTATGTGTTGGAGATTATCTTGTCTGTAGGAAATCATAATTGTCACTACTACAATGTGTGTCAAGACTTCTCTGTCCTTTACCTTCCTAAAGTATGCAAACTCAGATATATTAAAAGCTATCAATAAGTATATATTGTTTTTGCCCACAATATGGGTAAAATAAATAACTTCCTAACTGAATAGATGATAAGCTTTAGCATACTGGCTCTATATACATTTCATCAGTTCAAATGTCTTTGATTAATTTTAGATTGTTGGATCTAACAGTTATGGTTTAAATTAACAAAAATTTCAGCCTTCCTTAATGTCAATTATTGTGTCATTGTTCAATATTCTATTTCTATATAATCATCATTATTTTATAAATCAACAGGTTTACCATCTATGAATTCCTTGAAACTAAATATAATCATAGTGGACATGATTAATTTCAATTTGTTCTAGTGTCCCTAAGGGCAGGCAATTAGGCTATGGGCCATGAAGGCTACCACAGGTTCACCCTGAAACATTTTGCCCTAAGTAAAGAGGATTCTGACATACCCAAAGACTTTTTACTTAATCACTTTAAAGTCCTTACATAGCTTTTGTTTAAATAACCACAGAACCAAAATTTTAGAGCTTGAAAAGACTGAAACTAACTTTGATCTATGTGGCCAAAATAAATATACTAGACTACGACACACTTTAATTTTTCAAAACACCAGTTTCTTACAGACCAGTGTTTTTAAGAATGTGTTCAATGCCTAAAATATTAAGGTGAAAGTAAATAAATGAGTCCTTTTTTGGTGCTTGATATTCCTTCTGAATCATATTTCAGTGAACCTTGGGTACAAATCTCAGAAAGCACAGAAATTTTGAAAGATACAGAAATCTAGAAAGATGATCCTAACTGCAAATTGTACTGTTCTCTTATGCAGATTTCTCAGGAGCTGTGGCACAAGAATCGCTTGGCCTGGGAGGCAGAAGTTGCAGTGAGCCGAGATGGTTCCACTGCACTAGAGCCTGGGTGACAGACTGAGACTCTGTCTCAAATAAAAAAAAAAAAAGAAGTGAACATGCATAAAATTGTACACCACAAACCAATTTTTTAAAAAGATTTTAACGTCAGGCTATCCCTTGACGTACTTAAAAATCGTAAGTTTAGAATCCTTGTCTTGTATAGCAAATAAATATTAACATAGTGAATTAAATGAAATTAAATGTTAGAATGTGTATGACAGCCTAGGCATAAGGCATGGCCTGTTAGAAGGCTGAAGACACTTATTCCTGATCCTGAAATCCGAAGTAAACTGTAAACTTTGCTTTTAGATGGAAGAAGACTGAGGGAAATGAGAGGATGGAGCTTAATTTATAATGATGAAAAAAAGAAACATACTCCTGAATTTGAAATCTGATTCTATTTGTGAAAGCACTTACATGCTTTGAAACATATCTATTTTTATCACAGCAATAAAAGATTCAAACTGAAAACTTAGTCTACATGATTTTTTTAGCCAGCATTCACTTATAATTTATAATAAGCAATTTATTAATAGATTGCTCTCTTGTTACTGCTCAACTGAAAGGTTTATTTAAATGATGATTGCTATCCCCATCAGGGACAACGAAATAATTCAGAATGTTCTGTTTATTCTCCCCTTTAAAGGTTAATTACCTTTGTTTAAACACTATCACAACTCCTCCCTGCCTACCCAGCATCACAGTTTATAATAGCAGCATAAAGATAAGTACTTTCTTTTGAAAAGCAATTTGAAAAATATTACATGCGGGAAAGGTGTTGGCTGCCATACCATGTATGTTATCCAGTATTTTCAACTTAAAAATATTCAACAAGAGTTAAAAATATAGACAAGTTTGCCACTGTCTAGTAGAGTTAAGTATGTGCATCATCTACAACCCGTAATTCCACCTCTAGATACATACCCTAGAGAAACCTGGAACATGTACATCAGGGTAAAGGTTGTGTGAAAGATGCACTTGAAGTTGAAAGAAAGGATGGAGAACCATTATCTACTTATTACATACACATTATAATTTTCTTAGAGCAAAACATATACTCCGATTAAGTTGTTGAAATTCACAATTATGTGGTCACCAAATACAATCTTATAAAAAAGCACTGTATTGAAACCTTCCACCCATCCAACAATATTATTTCTTTACCCAAAGCAAAATCTCTAAAAAAATTTAACCACAAAGCAACCATGTGCACTAAATTCAACACAGATAAAAATCTTTATTTGGGTGGCAGAAAAAAAATATGCATTATTTCATTAAACAGTGATCCTACACAGAGAGAGATTTACCAACCATATTAATTCAGCAAAACTCAAAATACTTTTCCCCAAAATACATTTTCACCTATCCTGTCACTTCTTGTTAAAGACCAGTTTAGGTTTTACTAAATTAAAATAGTTTATATGTATACTATTATTAATTCAATTTGTATAACAAATCTTCTCTTCCTTCTTTTGAGAACTCAGCCAGAGTCACTATACAGTTACATTCTCCTTTCCACACTATTAATGAAAATTTAAGCAAAACATAGCGCTTTGAAAACCCCAATTATGTAATATGCAATTAATTCCAACATATTTAAGAACATTAACAATTGGAATGCAGCTAATGTTAAAATATTTTTAAGATATTATCTTCTTTACTAATTTTTACAGACTGACAAATATTAACTTAGAAAATATAGCATAATATGAACAATAATTTTTTACTTAACATTTCATAACAATAAGGCTTATATTAAATTAATATTTACTTCAAAGTATTTGGCCCAAATTGAGTCAACATAATACATTAAAAGTCACGAATGTCTTGTTTCTTATTCACTGTCTATGACGGTAATATCTCTAATTCAGACTCTGAAATTAGTCCACACTAAATTAAAAACAGGAATTAGAAAATCAGTTCTAAATTCACTTCTGCCTCTTAAACTATGAGATCTTGACCAAGTCATAGAACATAAAATCCAAGTTTCCTCATCTGTAAAATGGAAGGACACTATCGTATCTGCTCTGGTTATTCCACAAGGCTGATATAAAGAAGAAATCAAATAACCTATGTGAAAAGTCCCTGAAAAATATAAAACAAAAAGCAGACAGAAGGTGTTATTAGTGGTAAACAGATATTATCCTATTAAGCACAGAGTCAAGTACACTGAAAAATTAATTACTGCATTTCTACCAGAAAAAAAGTTTGATCTGTTCTTCCTATAAGGTTATTAACTTTTTTTAAAAAAGTATGCATTTAAAATATTATTTGCAAAATCAAAGCCTGATAAAAGAAAATTAGAAGAAAATGACTGACAGAATTTGAATAATACAAGGAAATTTGTCCAAAGTAGGAAGAAAATACATTACTGTGAAATAATTTATGAAAGGCAGTATCAACTCTTTAGGTGAAATGAAATCATGCTAGGAAATTAAAATACATTAATGTGTCAGACTTACCTCTGCCCATTTAAGAATACAAGTCATACAGAAGACATGATTACAGCTTTCTGGAAAACCAACTTCCTTTTCTAATAGACAATTAAGACATATTGGGCATCTGTCAGCCTCACTGTACAACAGACCAGTGGAAATAGTATTATCTCCGTTTTCTTCACCTGTTAAAGTAAAACAGCCATATGTGCTTTCAAGTTCTCCAGACCAAAAATCTTGTGTTTCTAGGAGTATAGTGGATTAGATACTCTAAAGGACCCTCCTACTATAAAGCAAATAGATCTTAGATAAATTATAGCAAACATACTGCTTGAGCCCAACGTGCCCAACATTTACTTTCTTAAATTTTTTTAACGGGGGACTGAAACAAACTTTTCATTAATTAAATTTAAAGTGAGTAATATTCACACGGATCAAAAATTTAAGAGCAAATTTCTCATTCAAATTTATCCCCATCCAGTTCCAACCAATCCAATAAGTAACAACTGTTAAATTTCTTTTGTGTTCTTCCTAGGAATTTTTAATGTACAGAAAAACAAATGCTAATACAAACTCTTCCACATTCCTTTCTTTACACAAATGCAAGAATACTATACACACTAGTCTGCTTTTTTCTTTATTCAAATCTATTGATGGACATTCACATGTTTTCAACTTTTGGCTATGACAATGTTGCAATAAAAATTTAGTTATTTCACATTTTTAAAAGTATATCTGTAGTGTAAGTTCCTAAAAATGGAACTGCTAGAGTAATGTGTGTATACATTTGTATTATGAATAGGTATTAACAAATTATTCTCCTTAGGATTTGTACTACTTTAAACTCCCACCAGTAATGTAACCAACTCATACAAAAGTATGCATCGCTGGCTCATAAGAAAATAATAGATACTCTGAAATTCAACATAAAAATAAAACAGAAATAAAGGATTGGTCAGCTGAAATGTGAACAGTAATATCAAGCAAAGTTGGAACTGTCCTGGGCACAACTGTCCAAACCAGTGTTTAGATCTGGAGACTAAGCCTTAGAACCGCTTCAGGAAGGAAAACTAATCCTGATAGACTCCAGTATCAAGCCAAGACTTTTAAATGGGGCTAAAGAGGTCCCAGCATGGGCCTGGGAAGAAACAAATACAAATCCTCTGGAGGAAAGAATACCTAAATTAGGCCCTCATAGATTTAATTTATCAAATGTAAGCTCATAATCAAACATTACCAAACCTAAGAAAATAAGCTGTCTTGAGTGAGAAGCAGCAGGAAACACATTTAGAAATCCACTAACTTCAAATATCAGAAGTTTCAAATACCACATAAAATGGACAATCAGCAGATTAGATCCAAGAAAAATACTTGTGAATTGGAAGACAAATCTGAGGAAACCAGCTAGACTCTAGGAGACAGAAAAGGAAATATAAGACATAGCCTGTGAAACAGGTTAAGAAATGAGGTTACAGAACGGTCTAACATACTAATTGAAATCCAAAAGAGAATAAAGGAAAGGCAACAAAGAGGTAATGGTCGGGAAATGATTAAACACATGAACCAACAAAGGAAACACAATGCATACTGTTAAGAGAAATAAAAATAATCCATGCCTAGAAACAATGGAGTAAAACTGTAAAATATCAAAGACGAAACCAAGACCTTAAAAGCAGAAAATTGGAAAAGACAGATCACCTACAAAAGAGAATGATAATTAGACTGGGAAGAAATCTCCAGACAGCAAGGGAAAAAAAATGAGTAATATCTTCAAAGTGCTAAGAGAAAAAAAAACTATCATTTCAGAATTATATACCCAGTAAAACTATCTTTGAATAGTTTTAAAGTGGATAAAATAGATTAAAAAAATTCAGAGTTTACCACCAATAGACCTTCACTAAAGAAACTTCTCAGATTTATTTTCAGAAAGAAAATAAATGAAGAGGAAATAAACTCAAGCAAACATTGCATAAAACATCATCTAACTGGTGGTGTCTGAAATAAAAGAACTCAAATAATGGAACTATAACCTATACATTGAGATTAGGATGATCAGAGTTAAAGCATTCTTGGGTTCTTCTTCTGTTGGTAGTGAAAATTAAATTAGCTTTAGAAGCAGAGGACAGTACCAACGCTAACTTTTTTTCTTTTTTAAAAAGACAGGGACAAAAACATAAACAGTAATTCCTAAACCAGTAGAGAGTAAACCTTTAAGAAAAAAGGGAAAAGTAAACAATTTAACAAATCAAAAAACTTGATCAGTCGAAAATAAGATATGGGAAGAAAAAAATGTGTATACTTAGGCAGCTTATTTTGGAATTTAAGAACAACAATAACAAAAAACTCCTGTGTATTCTGAAATGTATACAAGTGGACAGTTTGGAAACAACTGTTTTGCTTTCAACAAACAAACTTTATAAAAATGAAAAGTTACCTTCCATGTCTTCATACTTCTTATCTCCCATATTTAGGGTACATACAGTTTTCTTCTTCATTTCTCTTTGGAAAAGGGTTTCCTATAAGATAAATTATAATAGAGAATTTTATGTTTGCCTTCTCCCAATAATATCAATTAAAAAAAAATCCTAAACTGTAAGAAATTATTTTACACATAAAAGAACACAGTACGAGCCAAGCCAGTTTGTGGATAATCCAGTACTCTTTTATACTCCTTGCTATCAAAATGCACAGTCTTATTGAACGGAAAAGCCTTGGCCGTGCACGGTGGCTCACGCCTGTAATCCCAGCACTTTGGGAGGCCGAGGCGGGCGGATCACAAGTTCAGGAGATCGAGACCATCCTGGCTAACACGGTGAAACCCTGTCTCTACTAAAAACACAAAAAATTAGCCGGGCGTGGTGGCAGGTGCCTGTAGTCCCAGCTGCTCGGGAGGTTGAGGCAGGAGAATGGCGTGAACCTGGGAGGCAAAGCTTGCAGTGAGCCCAGATCGCGCCACTGCACTCCAGCCTGGGGGACACAGTGAGACTCTGTCTCAAAAAAAAAAAACGGAAAGGAAAAGCCTTTTATAACTATTAAGCAACAAAGCCTAAATGATATATTTTGTGGCACAGACATAAATGCAATTGAAGCTTAAGGAACAGAGATCAATTTGGAATAGAGTTTTCAGAGAATGTGATAGGTTAGATGTGTTGAGGAACTTCAGGCATTCAAGGAGCAACACAGTATGGAGAAATACAATAACATTTAGCTAGGCCAATCTCACAATTGAGCGGGTGAGAGAAAACAGTGGGTGAAAGTGTGTGTGTGTGTGTGTCTACTAAGGAGACAGTTGTGTGTGTGTATGTGTGTGTCTCTACTGAGGAGGGGGTTGGCATGTAAGCCATGAATTTTATCTGAAAAATCACAGTGAGAGGTAATAAGAAATAAGCAGAGCAATGTAAATCAAGTATGGCTAGATTATAGATGGATCGCTAATGATTGACTGAGAACCTTAGATTCAATCTTACAAATTCTATGAAGAAGAGTGACAAGATAAAAGTGATATAAGTGAATTTTTTTAAAAAAGATAGATACGCCAGCCAAGTATGGATTGAATTACAATGGAAGGAGATTATAAGCAGAGATATTTGCATAGCTAAAGTAACTGGCTGTGAAGTATATTTGAAAAGCACGGAATTAAAAGGCTGCAGAAATTCTGAGATTTGGTGAGCAACTACAGTGAAGGAGACAATATCCTGGCCTAAAAGACTAGGAAAATGGTGCTTATAAAAAGGTAAAAATGAGAAAAGTGGGAAAGGATGTTAATATGGCAAAGGCAAGAAATTCATACAGTAACATTTTATTTTAATCAACTTTTTTTCCTAAGAGATGGGGTCTTGCTGTGTTTCCCAGGCTGGTCTCCAACTCCTGGGCTCAAGCGATCCTCCTGCCTCCACCTCCCAAAATGCTGGAATTACAGGCATAAGCCACTGCACCTGGCCTTAAATCAACTCTTAATATTCCTTCCTGAACTGATGCAAGACATAATTGCAATGAAATGTCCAAATATGCATTTATATCTACGCACAAGAAATCCTTGATTTTATCAGTTGTGATTCTCCTATATGTATCTGAATGGGTTTTTCTATTAATTTCTAAAATAATTTACACATGGTAGTTTCTACATTAAAGGTATGAACTCCCCAGGAAAATTCCCTATTTGGTTAAATAAGGAGAAATACAAAGTCCCAGACTTATAGTTCAAAAACTAACCATAAAAGCAGAAGAAACTTAGTAGCATATGTAAGAATGATTTAAAGGTTGTAGCAGATCAAATACAACCTCAAAATGAATCAGCATTAGAATCTAAAAACTTTTTTTAATCCAATCAATCTGACAATAAAAGTTGGATGAGGAATATTTCCCACTCTTAGCCTATGTGTGCAACATTAGTTTTAGTTCTGGTGCAAACTAACTTGTTTTAGTTCTGGTATTTAAGGACAAACAACATAATGATGAATGTCCAGGGAAGATGACTAAAATGGTGACAGCCCTGGAAACCCTATCATATGCAGAAAGGTAAACTAGTAAGAATGTTTAGCTTGGAAGAACAGAAAGCTTAAGAACATTAGCAATTATCTTCAAATAAAATGAACTGTTCTGAAGGGAGGTAGAATAATCTATCAATGAAAGTATTCAAGCAAAGGCCCAGTGATCTTTTGTGGGATTTTTTTTTTTTTAGCTCCAAGATTTATAGAATACTATAGGTATACTAGGCAATTCTCTTAGTACTGAACAAGGCAGAAATCTCTACCTTTATGTTCTAGTGGGGAAGACAAAATAAACAAAATAGTAAGTAAAATATCTAGTATGTTAGACGTTGAGAAGTGCTATGGAGAAAAATTAAAAACAGTGTGGCTATTAAGGAATAAAAAAAGAGGAAGCTGTTGTTTCATACAGAATACTGAGGGAAAGCTTCTGTGATAAAGGGACATTTGAACTGGCAATCAGAAAGCAGCAAGGGAGACAGTTATGTGAATATCATCCAGTGCTTCCAGGCTAAGCATTCTTGGCAGAGAGAATAGCCAATATGAAAGTCCTAAGGCATGTCTGGTATGTTCAAGGAACAACAACAAAGAGATGAATGACTGGAATACAGTGAAAGAAGAAAAGTAGATGAGGACAGAGTTATATTGCACTGCTGTATATTATTATTTTTTATTTGGGGAAATTCATACCATACTATCTCCTTCATTATCCTAAATATCTGAGAATAAAAAAATATTAAGGTTGGAGTTAACTCAATGTGATAAAATGTCATTTGAAAGTTAACACAGTATTTTAAAAACCTAAGAGATGTTCAGATGTAATATATTATCCCTTTATGTAACGCAATGATTTATTTGTCCTATTTAATAGTCTAACCTATGCTATTTTCACATTTCCTCCTTTAAGCAAACTAACCTGATATATAATTTATAATTTATATTTTAAAGTGGGGTGCATTGGTATATGCCTATAATCCTAGCTACTTAGGAGGCCGAGGTGGGAGGATCGCTTGAGCCCAAGAAGTTCAAGACCAGCCTGGGCAACACAGCAAGACCCTGTTAAAAAAAAAACAACCTACAATTAATATTTTATAGTAAGCACTGTCTTCTCTATTTTAAGACCCATATAGTGAAATATACATGAGAAACTGAGAAACCTCAATCAAGTTACACACTGCCTTTGTTAGAAATCTGCCTTAATGGCCAGGTGCCGGTGGCTCACGCAAGTAATCCCAGCACTTTGGGAGGCTGAGGCGGGAGGAGCGTCTGAGATCAGGAGTTCGAGACCAGCCTGGCCAACATGGCGAAACCTTGTCTCTACTAAAAATACAAAAATTAGCTGGGTGTGGTAGCAGGCACCTATAATGCCAGCTACAAGGGAGGGTGAGGCAGGAGAATTGCTTGAACCCAGGAGGCGGAGGTTGCAGTGAATCGAGATTGCGCCACTGCACTCCAGCCTGGGCAACAGAGTGAGGCTCCATCTCAAAAAGAAAGAAATCTGCTTTAAAAACTGTTTAAGCATTCCAAAGTTTTAGAAGTTGCATGCTTTATTCCTTAACATGTCCTCTATTAACTGTTTTTATACCTGAAAATGATTATGCCATGTTACTAATTTAGTCATTTAAAATGACAGGAACTTAGCATTTTGCTAGATGAAAGTCCTAAGTCTCAGTTCAACAACTTATAAACTTGTAACTTGTCCTGTTTATCTGTTCTATCTGCCTGGACTCCAGTTTTCAATCCAAGGATCCACAAGTATTTTTGAATAAAAGCTTTGCTTTGAATATCCAGTGACAGGAACACAGTAATACCACACAGAGTCATAGTCCTAGCCAGTAATTTGTGGTCAATAGCCCTAAGAGGTAAGATGTGGGTAGGTAGGACTACCCTTCCTTGTAGTTACCTGAAAAGTTAGATATATCTCAATTTTGTGTTATTAACTATTTATGGCTTTATAATCATGTTATATTCTACCTATACTACTTATTAGTTCTACTAAGTTCTGTAAGTTAATTATCTATAAGTCAAATTGTATTTTCTTTTATTGGTTCTACATTTACTAAATGGATGTTAATTCTAGATTTTCAGTAAACTTTGCTTTTCTGATTATTTTAATTTACAAATGTCAATCTTTAATGTTTCCTCCTAGGCTTTATCTTTCCAAGCTAAAATATCTTTTTAGTCTGTGACCCCTAATATAATGATCTAACATACTTCTATCGTCCAGTTGCTCTTTTCCATTTCATAACATATTGTTTCTGCTAGATACTGAAAGTGATACTCCAAATATGTTCATATAATAATTGGGGAAGAATGGTCTAAGTTTTAAATTTTATTTATCATATAAGAAGGTATTAAAGCTTGGAATTTAAAATTTAAAAAAAAAAGCACTGATAAAAATCAGTTTTTAGGAACTCAAAACTCATTTTCCCATAGTAGAATACATGGAAATGAGTGTCCTAGGCCAGCCACTACACTGCATTCAAATAATGGTAGTGACGCAGGGCACAGTGGCTCACACCTGTAATCCCAGCACTTTGGGAGGCTGAGGCAGGCGGACCACTTGAAGTCAGGAGGTTGAGACTAGCCTGACCAACACGGTGAAACCCCGTCGCTACTAAAAATACAAAAAATTAGCCGGGCGTGGTGTAATCCCAGCTACAGGCTGAGGCAGGAGAATTGCTTGAACCCAGGAGGTGGAGGTTGCAGAGAGCCGAGATCATGCCATGGCACTCCAGCCTGGGCGACAGAGCGAGACTCCATCTTAAAGAACACCCAAAAACGCAAAAAACAAAAACGGTCTGTATTAAGTCATTTCGGTTCTCTAGAATAGTGCTGCCCAACAGGGAATTCTTCTATCAAGCACTTCAAGTGTGGACAGTGCATGTGAGAAACTAAATTTTAAATTTTTGTGAAGTTTTAGTTAATTTAAATAGCCCAATGTGCTACTGTACAGCTATTTAAAAATATATTTAATAGCTGCACTGCTACTGTAGAGCACAACTGTTAAAAACCTGTTTCAAGTTATATTTGGGATGCTAAGAATGTACATTCCATTTTAACAGTTGCTGGGTACCTCAAGCCGCGGGGAATCAGAAGTAGCCAGGGTTCCTAATAATGTAAACTATTCTTTAGCCTAGTCTGGTTTGGTTTCAAATTACTACCCTTCTTTCCTTCTATTTTTTTTCTTCCAAAGTCTGTTTCTTTCTGCTGTTACAAAACAGAGCTCCTTTCCCTTCCAGTTCACTTCAAAACTCCCTCTCCCTCCTTGCTCTTGCTGTTCTCTTCAAGTAAGCCCATGGTATCTAAAGATACCTACATCCTGGTTAATACTACAAACTTTAGAATCCAACAGGTCTAGATTCAAATCCTAACTCTACCATCATTCAATAAATGGCTGTTATCAAGATCATTATTATTCTTATTGTCAGAAACAACAGAGAAATAGGAAATAGTAATAAAACTGTTGCTTGCCACTTTCTTTGTTTTCCCTAAAGCAAATGCAAGGACTAAAAAAAGATAAATCAACATTACTAAATAACAACTAAATTGATCAAGTCTCCTATTAGAGTGTGAGTGTGTGTGTTTGTTTTAAGAGAAACAGTCTTGCTCTGTCGTCCAGGCTGGAGCGTGGTGGCACAATTACAGCTCACTGCAGCCTTGAATTCCTGGGCTCAAGCAATCCTCCTGCCTCAGCCTCTCAAGTAGCTAGGACTGCAGGTGCACACCACCACATTCAACCATTTTTTTTTTCTTAAGACGGAGTCTCGCTCTGTCGCCCAGGCTGGAGTGCAGTGGCGCATCTCAGCTCACCGCAACCTCCGCTTCCCAAGTTCAAGCAATTCTCTGCCTCAGCCTCCTGAGTAGCTGGGATTACAGGTGCCCGCCACCACGCCCAGCTAATTTTTGTATTTTTAGGAGAGACGGGGTTTCACCATCTTGGCCAGGCTGGTCTTGAACTCCTGACCTCGTGATCCACCCGCCTTGGCCTCCCAAAGTGCTGGGATTACAGGCATGAGCCACCGCGCCCGGCCTCAACTAATTTTTTTATTTGTAGAGATGGAGTCTCACTCTGTTGCCCAGGCTGGTCTCAAATTCCAGACCTCAAGCAATCTTCCCACCTTGGTCTCCTAAAATGCCGGGATTACAAGCATGTGCCACTGTGCCCAGCCTTCTAGTGATATTTTGTCAAAAAGGTAAAATCAGATTCTCTGGTTACACAGAAAGAAGAGGGATATAAATGGCCACGAGGAAATATCACACTATTACCAATCCTACTCCCAAGCCCAATCCTGCCATGACAGACCCTACTATGGATGAGCACTGATATGATAAATGAGAGACAGAGGTGAATAAAAGGGAAAGTAGAAGCAGTCTCTATGTTGGGCACACTTATGCCAAGGGCATACCAGTCCCCAGAATTAGTTTCTAGTTCAGTTTCTAAGAAGATTATCAGTGACCTGATTGCTTGTTAGCAGTTGATCAACAAAAGCAATTTCTAGGAATCTTTCATATTCACTTCCTCCACTGTGGACCTATGTTAAGAAAAGGACCAAGCACCATTCACTGATGAACAAATTATCCTATTATCTTGTGCTTACCAGATAAATGGAAAATTAAGAAGCTGAAGTCACCCACATTTACAGGTCTTTTAATAAAATCAGTTTCCTATATCAATCCAGAAAGTAAGGATATGTTTCAGAACGTCTCTAAAATTCTCGTGCAGTGTGGAAGCGAGTGCCAAAATAATCCATAATGATGCATGTCACCTCACACTATGCTCTACAATGATCAAAAACCTAATTATTGAAACAAATCATTTTCTAAAGAGTAAAATGAATAAAGAATAAAACACTTTCAAAGTGAAAGGCAAGCCAGAAATCGTCAGCCAGACAATGAAGACTGAATTGAAAATAGGACAAGTTTTTCAAAGCTAATACATTTATTTAGAAAGTTCATCAAGTGTTCTAAAAAAAGAATTAATTTTCCTGCTTCCTTCTTCATTTAATGTAGCATCATCTCCTTAACAGAAATTGTACTGTTGCATGCAGCAAGGTCACCTACATGTTGAAAAAAATTATAAAATATAATTCTCAAACTGTATTTAACATGAATATGAGGTGATTAAAGTTGGCATTACATTCCAAAATATATCAAAAGTGAGATCAAGGAGTTCCAGTTCCAGGTAAGATGGAATAAACACATCCCACCTTGTTAATCTCACTGAATGAAACTACAAAATACTGACAGAATGAATGGAGCAGCTATATGAAGACTCAGGAGTAAATAATAGCATATGGACTAGAGAAGACACCAGAATCTGATGCATCATCAAACTGTCAGTAAGTTTACCACCTTTTCTCCATCCAGAATCCCCTGGCCTGGGATTAATAAAGCCTGAAACCTAGAAAGTAGGCACTGGTAACAACAGAGAGCAAGCTCTAAGAGAATCCCTCTAAATATAAAGTGAGGTGGGTAAGGGGGAGGGGAGCTGGGGGTAAGGAGTGTCTCCTTCCTAATGTTCAGAAAGAGAGGGGGAAACTGCTCCTTTTTTTTTGTTTTCCCCCTTTCTCTGTTCCTCATGTCCCAATTCCCAAATGATCTGGTGATGGTAGTGGGTGCAACAGTGGCAGCAGCAGGAACCTAAAACTCTTAAGAAAAGAGAGAGATGAACCATCCTCACCAAATAAAAAAACTCTGGGCCAATCTTGTTGACTTCTGTCTTCCTGTTACTTGGATCCAGACACAGTTACAGAAAATGGAGTAAATGAAAACCAATTTTCTGGCCAAAAGACAGAAAAGACTGTCCCAGGGATCTAGAAAATACCATGGATATAACAGAGAGAAAAGAACTCAAGAAAGTAACAGCTGTTTTTGAACTCCTAACTCACCCAAGCTGAACGTATGTGGATTTAAACCCAAGCAGCATACCACCGACTCTGAAAACTGAAATATAAGATAAACCTCCACACATGTCACAGACTGGCTACTGGGTAGCGCATATTGAAAAAGTATAAATAGTAATGTAAAGTTTTGAAAACAGAACTGAAGTTAAAAAACTACAACCTACAGAAAGCTAATTGGAACTTGTGACCAACCTGAACCCAACTGGATCAACTGCCTGTAAAAATAAAAATATTGGCTGGGCACAGTGACTCAAGCATGTAATCCCAGCACTTTAAGAGGTCAAGATGGGAGGACTGCTTAAAGCTAGTAGTTAGAGACCAGTCTGGGCAACAAAGTGAGATCCTCTCTCTACAAAAAATAGAAAATAAAGTAGCCAAGCATAGTGGTGTGTCACTGTAGTCCCAGCTAATCAGGTGACTGGGGCAGGAGGATCCCTTGAGCCCAGGAGTTGAAGGATGAAGGAAAGTACAATCATGCCATGCACTTCAGCCTGGATGCGACAGCAAAACCCTGTCTCTTAAAAAAAAAAAAAAAAAAAAAATCCAAAAAACAAAAACAAAAACATCAACATTTTCCATAGCATTTAAACAAAAGACAAAGTTTTGTAACATAATATTCAAAATGTACAGAACACAATCCAAAATTACTTGGCATAGAGAGAGGTGGGAAAAATAACACTCTCATGGGAAAAGACAATTAAAAGAAAACACCACCAAGATGATACAGCTGGGTGAATTATCTAAAATGAATTACCTAACAAGCAGACAAAGATTTAAAGCCAGTATATATATATATATCGATATATATATATATAGATATATATATAGATATATATATATATAGATATATATATAGATATATAGATATATATAGATATATATATAGATATATAGATATATATATAGATATATAGATATATAGATATAGATATATAGATATATATATAGATATATAGATATATAGATATAGATATATAGATATATCCCAACAAGTATAAGCAAATACTTTTGAAACAAATGGAAAGCCAAAAGATCACAGCAAACAAACAGAAGACATAAAGAACAACCAAATGGAAACCAACAAAAAGTGAAAACGGAAATAAAAATACACTGAATAGACTCAACAGAAGAATGGAAATAAAAGAGTAAAGAGTCAGTAAACTTGAAGATAAACCACTAGAAATTACCCAACCTAAAAAACAAAGAGAAAAACATTGAAAAAAAAATATTAAAGGCTTAGGGACCTGTGAGGCAGTACCAAAAACCCAACATTCACATCAAGAATGCAAGAAAAGGAAAATCACTGCAGAAAAGAAGAAAAAAGAAAGTAGAAAGAAGAAGAAAAAGAAGAAGAAGAAGAAATAATGGGTGGAAACTTCCTGAAATTTGGTGAAAGGCATAAACTGCTACATTTAAGAAGTTCTCAAAACCTCAGACAGAATAATCCCAATGAAATCCATGCCTGGACACACATCAGAGTCAAGCTACTGAAAGTTACAAAGGAAAACCTTGAAAGCACCCAGAAAAAACAATGATGCATTACTTACGAGGGGGAGGGAGTTTAATGATTTGAATCACCGGTGATTTCTTATCAGAAACCATGCAAGTCAGAAGAAAGGGGAACAACATCCTTCAAATGCTAAAATGGAAAAGAACTGTAAACCTAAAATCCTCTATCTAGTGAAAATATCCTTCAGGAATGAATGTGAAACAAAAGGTATTCAAAGTGGAAGAAAAATGATGAGAATTCTTTTCCAGCTCTAAAAAAATTCTTAAATGAAGTTGTGTCAGAAGAAAAACAATGTTAGGAATGATGGAAGATCAACAGAAACAGTAAATGCCTGAGCAAACATAGTTAACTATTCTCATCTTGAATTCTTTAAAATAGGTTTGGCATTAAAGCAAATATTTATAACACTTTCTGATAAGATTTCCAATACAGGCATATATACCTCAAAGACATCATGGGTCTAGGTCCAGACCGGAGTAATAAAACAATATTGCAATAAAGCAAGTCACACAAAATTTTTGGTTTCCTAGTATATATGTTTATATTATACTGTAGTCCATGAAGTGTGCAACAGCATTATGTCTAAAAACTGTACATACTTGATTTAAAAATACCTTATTGCTAAAAATGCTAACAATCATCTCAGCAAGGCTTCAGCAAGTCATAATCTTTTTGATGGTGGAGGGTCTTGCTTTGATGTTGATGGTTGCTGACTAATCACAGGATGGTAGTTGCTGAAGGGCAGGGTTGGCTGTGGCAATTCCTTAAAATGAGATAACATTCAAGTATGCCACACTGACACTCCTTTCACAAAAAATTTCTCTGTGTACAAGATGCTATTTGACAGCATTTTATCCACAGCAGAATGTCTTTCAAAATTGGAGTTAATCCTCTCAAACTCTGCCACTGTGTTATCAACTAAGTTTATATACTATTTTAACAATGTTCACATCTTCAGCAAGAGCACATTCCATCTCAAGAAACCACATTCTTTGTTCATCCCTAAGAAACAACTCTTCATTCAAAATTTATCATAAAATTGCAGCAATTCAGTCATGTCTTCAGGCTCCACTTCTAATTCTATAATAGTTCTCCTGCTGTTTATACCACACCTGTAATAGTTACTTCCTCCACACAAGTTTTGAATCCCTAAAAGTCATCCATGAGGGTTGGAATCAACTTCTTCACAATCCTGTTCATATTTTAACCTCCTTCTATGAATTACGAATGTTCTTTATGGCATCTAGAATGGTGAATCCTTTCCATTACTTTGCCCATATCCATCCAAGAAATCACTGTCTGAAGCAGCTGTAGCCTTATGAAATGTATTTCTAACAGAATAAGACTTAACAGTCAAAATTACTTCTTGATCACTGGGTTGAAAAATGGATGTTGTGTTAGCAGGCATGGCAACATTTATCTCCGTGTATTTCCATCAGAGTTCTTGGATGGCTACGTGCACTGTCAATAAGTAAGTACTATGTTGAAAGGAATCTTTTTATCTGAGCATTTGGTCTCAACAGTGAGCTCAAAATATTCAGTAAACCATGCTGTAAACGGATGTGCTGTCATCCAAGCTTTGTTGTTCCATTTATAGAGCACAGAGTAGATTCAGTATAATTCTTAAGAGTCCTGGAATTTTCAGAACGGTCAGTGAGCACTGGTTTATAAATTTATAGTCACCAGCTGCATTAGCCCCTAACAAGACAGTCAGCCTGTCCTTGGAAGCTTTGAAGCCAGGCATTGACTTCTCCTCTCTACTTATGAAAGTCCTGGATGGCATCTACTTTCAATAGAAGGCTGGCTCATCTGCATTAAAAATCTTTTGTTTAGTATAGCCACTTTCATCAATGATGTTAGCTAGGTCTTCTGGATAACCTGATGCAGCTTCCGCATCACCACTTGCTGCTTCGCCTTGCACTTTTATGTTATGGAGATGGCTTCTTTCCTTAAACTTCATGAACCAACCTCTGCTAGCTTCAAACTTTTCTTCTGCAGCTTCCTTATCCCTCTCAGACTTCACTGGCTTGAAGAGCGTTAGAGACGCGCTCTGGATTAGGCTTTGAGTTAAGAGAATGTTACGACTGGTTTGACCTTCTACCCAGATCAGGCAAACTTTCTTCATATCAGTGACAAGGCTGTTTGGTCTAATTTCAATACTGTTGAGAAACAGGGAGGTCCAAGGAGAAGGGGAGAGATGAGAGAACAGCTGGTCAGTGGAGCAGTCAGCACACAGGCAAACATAAGTTACCTGTCTTATATGGGCGCTCTTCGTGGTGCCCCAAAATAATTACAATAATAACACTAAAGATCACTGATCACATATCACAACAGATATAATAATAACAAAGATATTTGAAATACTGTGAGAATTACCAAAATGTGAAAGAAACATGAAGTAAACACAAGTTGTTGGAAAAACGGTGGCAAACCTGCTTGATGCAGAATTGCCACAATCTTCAATTTGTAAAATATGCAGTATCTACAAAACACAATAAACTGAACTGCAATAAAAAGAGGTATGCCTATATGTGTACATTTAACACAAGATAACTGCAACATAAAGGGGGAAAGGTAAAGGGACATACATGGTGGTAAGACCTCTATTTCACTTCAAGTGGTAAAATATCAATTCTAAGTAGACTAAAATTTTAAGTATGTATAATTCTTAGAGCTACCACTAAAAACATTAGTCAACGTCTTGTGTCGTTCCACCTTCATTTCAAGAAGGGTGAGTAAAGTACAGTAAGATATTTTCAGAGAGCCCACATTCACATAACTTTTATTACAGTATATTGTTATAATTGTTCTATTATTTGTTATTGTTAATCTTTTCTGCACCTAATTTATAAGTTAAACTTTATCATGAGTATGTACATATAGGAAAAAACATGATAGACATAGAGTTTGGTACTATCTGTAGTTTCAGGCATCTACTTGAAATATATCCCACATGGAAAAGGGGTAACTACTATACCCAGTTCCCTTCAAATCAGTCCAAGTTGGCCAGTTAAAATGGAATACTAAAAAAATGTTCAAATAACCCAAAGAAGGAAGTTACAGAGGAACAAAAACAGAGGGAACAAACAGAAAATAGACTTGAACCCAAACATATCCATATTTAAAATATGTGAGATGTAGCAAAAGCACTATAGTATTAAATTTCTTCTATCAGAAAAGGTCTCAAATCAGTAATTTAAACTTGCACCTTAAACTAAAAAAGGAGCAAAGTATATACAAAACTGGCAGAAGGAAGAAAATAAAGGAACAGAAATCAATGAAATTGGAAACAGAAAAACAGATAAAAATCAATGAGACCAAAAGCTCATTCTTTGAAAAGATCAATAAAATTTAAACCTCTTGCCAGACTGATGATGTAGATAGCCTGAATAGCCTTAGGACTATTTGAAGAAATTGAATTTGTAGTTAAAAGCCTTCCAAAAAAGAAACCTCGAGGCCCACATAATTTCCCTGGTGAATTCTAAGAAATATTTAAAGGAGAAATAACACCAAATCAACACAATCTCTTCCAGAAAATGGAAGATGAACACTTCCCAAATCATTTTATGAATCCAGCATTATCCTCATGCAAAAAAAAAATAGTACATGAAAAGAACAAATTTATATTCTGCTCCTCATCAAAACAAAAACTATGGTACATTCAATCATATAATGAAATACTGCTCAGCAATAAAAAGGAATGAACTAGCATTTCATTCAACAAATTGTATGCATCTTAAAGGCATTCTATTTTGTGAAAGAAGCCAGTCTCAAAAGGCAACATATTCTAGAATTGCATTTACATGCAAACCTATAGTGATGAAGAACTTGTTAGCAGTTACCTGGGTTAGGGGAATGTATGACAACACAGTTTTTGGCGGGGGTGGGATGATAGAACCATTGCAAATCTTGACTGTAGTGGTAATACAGATCTATACATGTATTAAAACTCACAGAACTATACACCTCAAAAAGCTCAATTTTACTGTATATAATAAAAGTTAAACTTTCTTAAAAAGACTAACATGAGAGCAATTTTTTGAAAATATTATGAACTAAAATATAAATTGTTAACATTTTCAGGAAAGGCACTTTTTCACTGTCAACTTCATAGTTTCAGTTGTTCCAATTCTTATAACTACTGCCAACACAGAAGGCACCCAAATTATACTGCCACAAGATGAGCTTGGGAGGGGGTGTTTGAATGTTTTATCTCTGCTTTCTCCATTTCTTCAGCACTGACAGTTCTGAGAGACAACAGATATCTATAACCTGTACAGACACAGAGATTAAAAACAACAGGCTCAATTTAACAACTGCACTAAATTCTAAGGCAGAGTTGCAGAAACAGATCAGTTCCAAAACCCTAATGATAGCATGGGTGATCACCAAAAGAAGACATCTATTATGACTCCCAGTTAGGTTACACTCTTATGTGACAGTCATCCACTCTATGGGAAGAATATATTTACAACGCAGTACTTTATTTAAGAAAATACAAATGAGTGCCTTTTATGTGCCTGGATAGTTTACCATGAGAGTCTGAAAAATCATCAAATGACAGGCTTCCATTACTTCTCCAAATAAGAAACAACTGTAAACAGTAGCATATGTCCTTTGATAACTTCAATATATTTATGCAATTGTTGTCTAATAACCCCACCCCTGCTTAAGTTATGGAGGACAGAACACAAAGAGTTGGTTACACAATCTTCATTTATCCTCAAGATTCTCATCCCCATTTACTGAAGTACAATGACATAACTAATTTATATGCTAAGGGCAAACCTAAAGCTCTCTTATATTTATTTCCGCCAGGCAATTTCTGAATGCCTGTTACAGGTACTTTTAAGGGATGAGTTATACATTTGGAAAAGTAGAGTTTACACGTAGAAAACTAAACTTTATGCCTATTAGTGACAAAAAGCAAAAGAGCAGTGAGATGTTACAGACTCATTTTACAACCAAACTTCCCAAGAAGACTACAGGAGCACTTGGGTCAACAGCACTGTATTTTCACATCTGGGAGGCAGAATAACAAAGAGAAGAAAGGCATCTTGGATGGACGTATGGAAGTAGAGGAAGAACTGGTGAATTTTTATCCTTTTAAGAAAAACAGGAAAACTGTCAACTATATTTTTACTTCAACACTTGGTGTACCCTGGAAAGACTTCTGAGCAGAAATGACAATGCCTGTCCATCTACTCACCTCCCAAAAAAGGGAGATGGGAAAATTGTGTAGGGCACAGAAAATACTTGCAAATAATAAAGAAAGCTCTCTTAGTTCATTTGTGCTGCTGTACAAAAACAAACAACAAATAAAAACAAACAAACAAACAAAAGACACTTGAGACAGTTAATTTATAAAAAATAGAAATTTCTCACACAGTTGTGGAGGCTAAGAAGTCTAAGATCAAGGCATCAGCAGGTTCAGTGCCTGGTGAGGATCCGGTCCCTGCTTCCAAGATGGCACCTGTTACTGCATCTTCAAGTATTAGGTGGTGGGGCTTTTAGGAGGTGATTAGGCTGTGAGGCTATGCCCTCATGGATGGAATTAGTGCCTTATAAAAGGGCCCTGTTAGTTCTCTCCAGCCCTTATAGAAGGCACTAATTCCATCCATGAGGGCAGAGCCCTCACAGCCTAATCACCTCCTAAAAGCCCCACCACTTAATACTGTTGCATTCAGGATTAAGTTTCAACATGAATTTTGGAGAGGGCATAAACATTGAAACCACAGAAAAATCCTAAGAGTTAAAGGGGGAGAATTAGTGAAAATAAATGACCACATAAAAATGCTTGTCACAGAAAAATGAGAATGGATTTAATAGGAAAAAAGGGATGATGTTCAAAACACTGCTTCTGAAATTCTACCCCGTTCTGTTTAAACAAGATTTTTAAAACTTTACAGAGTTTCAATTCCAGAAATTAGTTTATTTTGCACAAATGCTGAAAGTTACTCTTTCGTTGGTTTCTTGAGAACTGATCACTTTCTTCATACTAATCCCTTACAAATTGGTACAAGTAGTTATTATAAAACCAAGACAGAAAAAAGCAATTATCTTGCACAGTGTAAACAGGACATCTACTCTTTTCTCTAGCTATGCCTATTATCTGAATTTCTTAAACACAAACTCATCCTTCTAGGTATCTCAGAGATAAGTACAATTATGTTACATAAATGTATATGTATCAATGTGCCCTCATATGAATATTTTACACATAATTTAAAGAAGCATTTCACAATCCTACTCCTATGAAATACAACTCTAACCCAGATACCGATTGTATTACATACTATGCAAACTTAAAATTAAAAAAAAAAAAATTCTGCCACATTAGCATAAGGCATGAATAGATATTGGGATTCTTTCCTAAATGTAATCATATCACAAATGCTACAAATGCCCATAACCTAGATTTTTGTGTAAGCGTTTCATATTATTTTTGGCTACTACTTTCTAACAGGTCACGAATGATCTCATTTAACTTTTATAGAACCTGGTGAAAGAGGCATCTCAATTTTACATACAATGAAAATAAGTAACATGCCCAAGATCGAAAAGCCAGCATTAAGTAGTAGGACTGGAACCCATTAGCAATTTACCAACAAATAACACAAATATTAATCCAAGTCACCAGAAATCATGAGTATTCAAACAACAAGAAGTGGTAACATTCTTAATGATTCAAATGACTGCAAAAATGTTAAGCTTTTAACCTGCCTTCTTTATCACTATATTACTAGGATCCAACAGCATGCCTTCAAAGGAATGCCCAATTATTTATGGATATGTTTAGCAACCATAGCACATGTTATTTGTCAGGCATGATTCTAAACACACTTAGTCCCTCTCTCTACATATATTAACAAACCACTATGATCTTGAGAGATTAACTTCATTTTACAGTGATACTGTCATTACCCCCATTTTATTGTGGAAACACCTAGCAAGTGATGGAGCTGGGACTGAAATTCAGATAATCAGGCTCCCTTATGCTCTTAACCATTGACACTAAACGGCCTAATACACAAAAGGATCTCTATAAGGGTCATAAGTTACCCAACAACTCACCTGAACATCATATCCTTACAGTATTTATGTAACTAATTAAGTAACATTTATCTGAGTCCAGTGGTAATAAATAGCAGCTAACTCTATGTTCCATTCTCTTAAATTAGCTCTATTTAGTGAGTGACTCTCATGCCCTTTTAGTGCAAAGAACCTGAGAGTAGAATAACTGGATTAAGACTGTCCTGCTCCACCAGGTTCCAAAATACCTGTGTTTGGGAGGAGTGTTCCTCCTCCCAAAATACACTAATAGGAAAAACTAAACTGATATTAGTAAGATACTAGTTATCAATGTCTTAGGACATAACCTAATATATCACATCATTTAGAATAGTTTGTTTTAGGGAAACAGGGCAGGTGATTTATAAATTAACAAAATAAAGAAATATTGTCAAAGAGTATATATAGTTGGTTTTTGGAAGAGACAACTCAGACCAAAATAATGCTGTTAGAGATTGAGTGATATTCGGATTATCACCTAAATGTAATCTTATTATAAATGCTACAAACTGCCAACTACCTTTTCAAGTGAAATTTCTAACTGGCCAGTCTTCTGCTATGTTCACCATGACTAACACAGGATATGATTTGTTCGACACCATAAAAGTATATCAGTAAGACATGTTAATGAGAAAGGAAACAGGGATGAAGAGTCAAAAACGATGAATGAACTCATCCCTAAAACAAACTATTCTAAATGATGTGATGATGTAGAGAACAGTCTTACAAATCCATGCCAAAGAAATAACCCTGATATTAATCCAAGTCCCTTAAAGTTGTATCAAAATAATCTCTAAACAAATAGCCCCTTACAGCTCTGAGATTCCTGTCTCCCAAAAAGATCCAAAAACCGAAACATCATTCTCCCATTTTCTGAGGAATAAATATAATCCGTCATCCTTGAATAAATACGTTTTTGTTTTTTATCTCATTTCCCCAAGTTATTCTAGTTACAGATTAACTCTAGACTGTTCACCTATCTCTAACAAAAATTTAAAAAATTAGCCGAGTGTGGTGGCATGCCTGTAGTACTAGGTACTCTGGAGGCTAAGGCAGGAGGATTACTTGAGCCCAGGAGGTTAAGGTTGCAGGGAACTATGGCCATCCCATAGCATTCCAGCCAGGGGACAGAGTGAGACCTTGTCTCTCCCCATACCTCCCAAAAAAGGAAGAAAATAGAGGAACAAACATTATTATATTAAATGTAAATAATGTAAATAATCGTGCACACCAATTAAAAGAGATTATCAAACTGGATTTTAAAGAAAGACTGAATTATATGCCTGTCTACAAGAAACTCCCTTTAAAAATAAAGATAGGTTAAACATATAGAACAAGATATGCCAAATAATGCAAACAATAATAAACGATGGTTGGAATGGCTATATTAATATGAACTATATTTTAAACCTTTTTAAAGAGTCTAAGTGGATTTGTTTACCCTCCATTCAGTTTTAATTATATCTAGTTCTGTGGCAGTTTTGAAACAATGAAGCTATTTCGTTTCATCCATCTCCCTCATATTACTCAAGCTGATGTCTTAAGTAACTGGACATGCACAACAGTTTCTAAAGAAATATGACCTATTACATTAAAACTGTCCTATCTGAAGGGTTTTCTATGATGAAGTTTTCAGGTGAGTGATAGCTTATAAATTTTTTGAGTCATTAATATTTATTCCCCATTATAACAGCTTACAGAATCATTCTTCTTGACAAGCCATCTAGGCATACAAAATAGTGCTATACGTATATTTACATTAAAAAATCACCTATCGGGGCCGGGTACAGTGGCTCATGACTGTAATCCCAGCAATTCAGGAGGCCAAGGCGGGCAGATCACTTGAGGTCAGGAGTTCGAGATCAGCCTGACCAACATGGTGAAACCGTTTCTACTAAAAATACAAAAATTAGCCGGGTGTAGTGGTACACGCCTGTAATCCTAGCTACTCAGGAGACTGAGGCAGGAGAATTGCTTGAACTTGGGAAGCAAAGGTTACAGTGAACCGAGATTGTACCACTGCACTCCAGCCTGGGTGACAGAATGAGACTGTGTCTCAAAACAAACCAAACAAAACCTATCATTTGTAGACTGTTTCATTGATCCCAGAGAATTTTTATAACAGTGTTGTTTTGGCCGCTGTCTTTCATGTTTGTACTTCTGTTTTGGTTTACTTTAAGCTGCTAAATAACTACTGTGGTCAGGGTACTGAGCCTGGTATTGGAATATAAAGACGGATTAAGATACTGTATCACTTCCCGGTACAAGGAGTAGACTTGGAGACATAGGATACAGAAGATGAACAAGATAGCATATGCCAAGTGCCAAATGTGAGAAATAGGCAAAGAGTTTCTAAGACATTTTTTTAAATGTACCAGTGGGGGAGTAACTAACGACTGAGGCAAGTAAAGAAAAATAATGATAATAAAGTGCAAAAAGTTAATGTTCTTAAGTCCAATTAGGACTTACGTTGTGTTTCCTTAGGTGGACTTCAAGTCTATCTCTCTCCCATTTATTTGTTTTGAAAGTGGTTTATAAGATGTTTAAATTGGGGATTTTGAGCTTAATGTAGTAGCAGAAAGGTGGCAGTGGTGGAGAGATGGAAAGTACGAGAAACTAGTTAGGAGAAAATGGAAAGAAGACTAGATATCAAAAAAGAAGGCCTGATTAGGACTAAGCTCCCCTAGGGCACAGACCTAATAGACACATAGATATCAACAAACCTGGAGTTCAGAACTATGGGTAGAGTGAATGCCTACAATATACTACGTAATGAACTACACATTCTGGCATGCCTTTCCACATTTAATCCTCAAAATACCAGAACACGATACATTTAAAAAATTAAAACACCGTCAATACTGAACAACAGAACACTGCATTAAAAAGGCTTAAAAATCACCCACTAAACAAAGCTAACTTAAGAGTATGAACAGAGACAGAGTTAGCTGCTATTACCACTGGACTTAGATAAATGTTATTAAAAAATTAGGTGAGGAAATTGAGATACTGATTAGATCACCTATAAAAGGTGACAATCAGTCATCTAGGACAACCAGAGTTCAAAACCAGGTCTGACTGACTCCTAAACCTAAAACACACACACACACACACACACACACACACACACACACACACAAAGACTGAACTAATTTTTACCTTACTGTCAAAATTACAATAAAAAGACAACCCTAAAAGTACATCTGAGAAGTCTAGGGTAAAAGAAAGGATAAAAAAGGAAGAAGTTTAGTCTTATCCCTAATAGAGATGTGAGTCTTAAGAGGGTTTAAATTTACTCAAGAGGGTTTAAAGATTGAGAACACTTTTAATTTTCACTAAAAGTGTTGGTATAATAATCTTTTACAAAAAGGAATAAGTATAAACTTTAAAAGAACACGTCTGTATGCTGCTATTCTGGCTGGAGGCATTGGAGCCCAAGTTAGTGAGCAAAATGCTCATGTTACGAATAGTGAGGGAACCCAGATTAAGATTCTTTTTACCTTAATAAAAAGAAAAAGGGATTACTTCTTTTTAGACTCCTTCAACTTGGAACAGTCCCCCAGTCTTGACTTTCATGACCTTGTTTGTACTCCTTAAAGCTTATAGATTAGTTCTGTTGCAAAATGTCTTCCAATTTGGGTTTGCCTGATACTTCCTTTTATTTTTTTTCAGATGTAGTTTTCTTTCTGTAGGATGCCAGATATTTCCTTATGGTTAGATTCAGGTTGTACACTATTTGACAGTAATTATGATGTGTTTTTCTCATTGTGTCCTGTCAAATGGCATACAATTTCTGTTTGTCTCATTACTGATGATGTGCACTTTGATAACTTGATTGAGGTAATATCATCCAAGCGTCTTCACTGTAAAGTTACTTTTGTCCCATTGGTAATTAACATGCATTTTTGTGGAAAAGTATTTTGAGACTGTAAAATAGCCCATTCCTTATTAAACTTGCTATTTATTTATTCCGAGATTATCTCAGCTTTGGCTAGTGAAAGCCTTTCAAGATAGTTTCTGTTTTCTTTTGACTTGCTCTTCGCACTTCCTTTTTTTTTTTTTTTTTGAGGTGGAGTCTCACTTTGTCGCCCAGGCTGGAGTGCAGTGTGGTGATCTTGGCCCACTGCAAACTCCACCTCCCAGGTTCAAGCGATTCTTGTGCCTCAGCCTCCCATGTAGCTGGGATTACAGGCATGGGCCACTACACCTGGCTAAATTTTGTATTTTTAGTAGAGACAGGATTTTGCCACATTGGCCAGGCTGGCCTTGAACTCCTGACCTCAAGTGATCCACCTGCCTTGGCCTCCCAAAGTGCTGGGATTACAGGTGTGAGCCACCACACCCAGCCACTTCCTTACTTTTGGACATAAGAAAATGAAGCTCACCTTGTACTTTCCCTGCCCCAGCACTGGAATCAACCATTCCTCCAAAGAGTGGTTGCTTTTAGTGGAGAAAGGTATTTAGAAAACAAGATTTGGATGCTCTAATTATTTCAATGTCTATGTGTAGAAAACCATGAATTGGTACCAATTTCTCCAATTTCAGTCCGCAAGATTTGTTCTTGTTTTCTCCATTACCAAATTTATAACTCCCTTCTCACCAGGAGAACTCTGACTCATTATCATTACTTACTAAATTTGATCAACCCCCTGCATGTGGCCAGTTTCCCATTGCCTTTGCTGTTCCCTACCTTCTTTGCATAACTTTTTTCTCTACTTAGGCTCTGACATCCTGTCCTGGGATGCACCCCTTACCCCATACTTCTTAGATACCCCATACTGAAGATTTTACCATTCTGTTTGAGCTCTAGTACCTTAATCTGATCTAGAGGTTCCTCTAGATCAGTGAAACAACTGAAGGCCGAAAGTCAGATGGACCCAGCTATAGATACTTAGCAACTTCTCTGACACTTAACAAGTCATTTAACTTCTCCAGAGCCCCAGACTCATTTCTGTAAAATGGACTAACACAGTCAACATTGCAAGGCTACCGAAAAGATCAAATGAAAATGTATGTAAAATGTCTACAACAGAGTGGCTGACACATAGTAAATATCTGATAAACATTAGCTATCTTCTGTAATATGGGTGATAATTTCTTAAACTTTGATCTCAATACTTTTAGATCTAGTTAAGCAATTAGAGAAGCATCAATCTGAAAATAAGAACCTTACTGTCCTGCTTGTTCAAAAGGCCAATGAGCTTCACATTGTTACACTCAACAGAATTTTTTTTAGTTCTTACCTTATTAAGCTCTTATCAACACTTGACCCAACTCTCTCTTCTTGACTTCTATCTCCTTGTAACATTCTCTTTCTTTGGTTTCTGTAACACCCCACTCACCCTCTACTTCTCTGATCTTCACGGTATTCTCTGGGAGCTCACATTCTTCCAGCAAAGTTTTTTAAATGTTAGAGGTCATTGTGGTTCCATCCTAGGCCTTTTTTCCCCCAAGTTATATTCCCTCACCTAGGCAATTTCATCCATACCTATAGTTCCAATTACCTGTATGGGAGATTCCAGTTTTCCATTTACAGCCAATACTCTTCCTCTGAATTTCAGAACCATGTATCTAATTGCTTACAGGAACTTCTACCTGAAAGCTCCAAAGGTACTTTAAGCCTGATATGTTAAAACCAAAAGAGCTCTGGTCCTTATCTGGCACAACCCAGGAATGTAATCCAGAAATCATCTTTCAAATTTCTTTCTCCCTCACTTTCAATCTATTAACTAAGGCCTGCTGGTCTCAAATCCCATCCACTGAGCCCATCTCCACAATTATCATCCTAATTCAAGCTATCCTCATCTCTCCCAGACTACTAAAAAAGCCTGCTAACTAATTCTCCCAGATCTCTTGCTGCCTCTCTCCTCCCTTTCAATACACATCACCACAATCCTAGTTTTGCCTTCTGGAACTATAAGAAATTAATATGGCTTCTAAATGACAACATTTTTAACAATAAGATAGTTATACTGCTTGATATGGTTTGGCTGTGTCCCCACCCAAATCTCTCTTGAATTGTATTCCCATAATTCCCACGTGTTGTGGGAGCAACCTGTTGGGAGATAATTTGAATCATGGGGGCAGTTTCCCCCATACTGTTCTCATGGTAGTGAACAAGTCTCACAAGATCTGATGGTTTTAACAGATGTTTCCGCTTTTGCATCTTCCTCATTTTCTCTTGCCACCAACCACTATGTAAGAAGTGCCCTTCTCCTCCCACCAAGATTCTGAGGCCTCCCTAGCCATGTGGAACTGTAAGTCCAATTATACCTCTTTTTCTTCCCAGTCTCAGGTATGTCAGCAGCATGAAATCAGGCTAATGCACTGCTCTACTCTTAGCTGAGGCATTCTTAGCTCCTTCTATATTAAGACAAATGATAGTTTCAAGGTCACATACTGTTATACTCCTCTAAAAACACAGACCCCTTAGGCTGGGTGTGGTGGTTCATTCCTGTAATCCCAGCACTTTGGGAGGCCAAGGCGGGATGATTACTTAGCCCAGGAATTTGAGACCAGCCTGGGCACCAAAGTGAGAGCTGTGATCACACCACTGCGCTCCAGCCTGGGAGACAGCGAGATGCTATCTGAAAGCAAAAACAAAACAAACAACAACAAAAAACAAGGACCCCTGAAATGAACATGGCCCACATGCATGGATATAAGTAACTTGGCAGTTTATGCTACAGACTGAGACTTGCTTAGTCTAAAGTTTCAAACCACAATCACTATTTGTAACGTTTACAGCTGAAAGCAGGTTAATTCATTAACTTACACTGAAGGCATTGTTCAGGTGTTTAGGTGACAAATACTGACAAATGCTGATCTCACAGAAGATAAATCACAGTGAAGAAAATAAACAATAAACCTAAGTTAGATTACACAATATGTTGCAAAATGATAAATGCAATGGAGAAAAATCTAGCATAAAAACAGATACAAAATATCGGGGGAAGGCTGTTGTTTTATACACAGTAGTTAGAGAAGACCACAACAGCGTAGGGGAAAGGAGATTGGAGAAAGGGTGAGGAGATGAAGTCAGAGAGGAAGAAGAGACTTAAATCATAGAGCCTTGTAGACCATAGGAGTATGGAATTTACTATGACTGAGAAGGGAAGCCATTTGAGAAAAGAAGTTACATGACCTGACATTTTATCAGGATCACTCTGGCTATGGAGTGTTAAAGACTGTAGATCAGCAAAGGTCACAGTGACTTTTTAGGAAGATATTTTTGAAAGCAAAATAGTGGTTGTGTTTTTACGTTATGTATTGAATTTTTATGTGTCTATGTACTAGGATTTCATACATTAAGTTCATAGACACAACTTAAAAAAATACAATGCAAAGATGAGTTTTGGGAATAGCAAGAGAATGATACTGGATATTTTAACTCTGGGCTCTACTCAGCACTACTAACAGTTATTACTGCTCAGAAGCAAGACAAGGTGCAAGGTTATTAACTTATTTTGGGGGACAGAGTATAATTAAAAATCTGGATTTTAAGTTTATTTCACTGGGCAAGGTAAGTCAAGGTACAATTTACATCTTAAAAGACAAAAGCAGGTGATAGCAGGGCTTGCTAAAGGGAAGTTACAATGAAAATTATTCTACAGTTGACTTTCTTTTTATTACTTTTATGCCTGCTACTCTCTTTAATTAAGGTGCTACAACTATCTCTGATATACTTTAAAAGTTCAGTATTAAGTTGATGGGTAGTATAGTACTGTATTTTCTGATTACTAAAAGATGTTACTGATGATGAATCAACAGTATCATGTAACTGCACTGATTCATCCTATCTCTGCTGAATAAAAGCACAGGTTTTCCAGAAAACTGTCTAAGCTCTAGTTGGTGCCAAAGGACGATAGAGAGCTAAGTAACTCCTGAAAAGTTTCGATCTTAACACACTAGCCCTATTACCACATGAAGGTATTAACAGAAAAAATTAAAAAATTATCCGTAAAATTTTCTCCATGACATGTTTTCTGGCAACATATTTAGAAACTTTAAATTTTCTTCTACAGTTTTCTTCCCCTTTATACTGAAGAATGTCTTTAAAGCATGAGTATACTTACAGTAAGCAAACATTCAAATTTTACCCCAGTGAAATCTTAAAATGTACTCAAACTCTCAGGCAAAAAGTTCACTATCTGAATGTGAAAAACTGAATGACTGTTAAAATATCTGCAAGCACCAAAAAATATTATAGCTAAAATGCAGCTACCCTAAGAACTGTTTTTAAAAAACTCACATTGCATAAAAAATATAAATTCAGATTATCCGATAGGATAATATAAAACAAAAGAAATCCAAAGACAGTTTCAAGATTTCATTTCTCTTGCTTAGTTAAAACAACAAAAACAAAAGGCCCATGAACTTTTTCTTGCATCTTTTAACCAAAATAGTGACATGATCAAGCCAACTGCCAAAGAAACAGGAAAGAGAAAGCAATTGTTTAGAAACAGACTTGATTACATGTCAAAATTTTAATACAATTACTAATAAAATACAAAAACCAACCGTTATTTTAAAATGTACTGCCCTGATATTCTGCTGCTGAGGTAGGTGGTGATATGTAGAAATTAATTTTTCTTTTAAAACGAAAAAATAATGCATTTATTAATATGCTTTTCCCAAAATTCGGGGAAAATTCCCAAATCGGAGAAAAAAATTTAACATCAGCATCTACTACACAAAGCATTAAAAACATTTTTCAGCAGTTTTGCTTAAGTATCTTAGGTCAGTGGTAGCATGTTAGCCAAAATGTAATCCAAAATGAATGAACAACAGTCAGCTGGTAGACACTGTATGTAATACAATACGGAAATATATTGGAAGTATTTCAAAATTCAACATTTGAATCCGTGAATGTCTAAATCAAGTACTCTAAATCAGGCGTCTACTTTTGAAACAATACTTCAAAATACGTGTTGGTGGCAAGACCGCCAGCCATCTGTAGGAAATCTTTTTAATGGTTCAAAATTCCTAGGTCTCAGAAGGGGCGACTGATTAGGCTAAATTTATATCTCCCGGCCCCGTAGTTGTCAGCCCAGGTAGCGAATTTAAAACACTGGGGGTGGATGAGTAGTTTGAAGTTCAGATCAAGGAGTGAAAAAGGCTGATGCTTAGAAGCGCCGGCTCTTCCCCATTCGCGCACTCGAGAGGTCACGGCGTAGTAAAGTTTGGTTTCACTAGCGGGCTTGGACGCTCGCGACCAAAGTCTCCCAAGAAAAGCCGACACCGCGGTCGGGAGCGCCCGGAAGCTCAGCAGGACACGTTTCCACTGCAGGGAGGAGGGTGTCTGTGGCGGTTCTGGCGTGGAGCCCCTTCCCCCCCCCCCGTAGGACCCTGCACCCGGACGGGGACAGGCTTCGCCAGCTAAGGCGGCGGGAGACGCGTAGGCCACAAGGAGGAAATGGGACAGAGTGCGACAGAGAGGCGGCGGCGGCCCAGGGCCGGGCCGAGCCTCCCTCGCGGGGCAGCGAGAGGGAAAGGGGCCCTCCCGGCCGCAGCCTCCCCCACTTCGAGAGGTAGCTCCAACTTTCCTCCCAGCGCACGACGTCGCACGGGCCGCGCGAGATTCCGAAACTTTGTCAGCCCTCGCGTCGCCCTAGGCCCGCTCCAGCGCTCTGCGCCGGCCGCTAACCCTCGTCTCTCCCAGACAGCTGCCCAAGCCCATCCACCCCGCGGGTCGACCAGTGTTTACCTCAGACCGAGGTCGAGGCGCTCGGTCCGGCCGCGGCCCCACAGTAGGTTCCCAGGTCCCAGTCACTCCGCTGCCAAGTTCCCCAACATGGACTCCTTCGTCCGCTTTGTGGTGTTACAGGGTCTCTAGGACACTGACTCCGCTGGCTCGGTCCGGAGGCGGCGGCGAAGCAGGGAGCGACCCAGGTTGCGCTGCTCCGCGCGGCTTAAGCCACCGCTACTCCCCCTTCCCCCGCCTTGTCTAGCCTCCTCCCTCCCCTCCCCTCCCTGCGCGTCTCCCTCCTCCTCCCTTCCCTCGCTGTCGGCGCGCTAAGGTGACGACGGCGGCAGCCGGACTCGCCACATTCTGCTTACTCGCTCGCTCTGGCCCTGAGTGCATGTTCGTAGTACCCAGTTGGGCCGCAGGGGGGCGCTGGCAAACTGCTGTTTGAGACCGAGAAGCGTGGTGGGTGGAGTCACGTCACGCGGCCTGTGAGCGGGAGGAAGGGCAGCTGCGCTGGAGGGGCCTTCTGGGAAACGTCCTTCCAGCACCGCCCTTCGCCCACACTGCGGATGGTGCGCATGCGCAGCGCGTGGACTTTGGCCTCTGCCCTCCTTTGGCAGTTTTACAGGCTGCGTCGCGGAGGACAATGAAAGAGGCTTTAAGGGAACTGGACAGGAAGGATTTTGCGCAGGGTGTGCTCCTTATCTTTATGGTAATCTGATATTGAAAAGAGTGTCCGCATGTTTGCGGTGGATTGAGTGTTCACCTGGCTGCGCTGCCCACCTGAAATGCAGCCTGTGGAGTGAAGAGTCGGCAATTTGGAAGCCCACCTTTCCTCCTTTCTGGTGGGCATTTTTTTAGATGCCAGGGGGAGAGCTTTCCCGCCTGACTCCCCGAGCCTAGGGGCTTTCCCATGTCTTAACCCCACATCACAAAATTAAATTTGGGCCAGGTGCGCGGTGGCTCACGCCGGTAATCCCAGCGCTTTGGGAGGCCGAGGCTGGCGGATCGCTTGAGCTCAGCAGTTCGAGACCAGCTTGAGCGACGTATTAAGATCTCGTTTCTACAAAAAATAAAATTAACCGGCCGTGGTGGCGCGCACCTGCGGTCCCAGCTCCTCGGGAAGATGAGGTGGGAGAATCGCTTGAACCCGGGAGGCGGAGGTTGCAGTGAGCCGAGATCGTTCCACTGCACTCCAGCCTGGGCGACAGAGCGAGACCCTGTCTCAAACAACAACAAAAACTTTATCATTATTTACTTAAAAGGCCTCCGCGTTGTGGTTAGATAGTGACGTGTGTGCCATCCTCCACTTTTTCCCCCGGCGGGTTGTTAAATGTTTTGTTTTACCTCGGAGGTATTTTGACTTTTTCAAAGTCACTGATTATTTAACCTCCTAGTTTCTCTTCTCGTCGACTGCAGCAAGCTTCCGGTTGCTCTGCCTGCCCTCAGTGTCCCCCATCTACCAGCTGACCTTCCAGTCCTCCCACCCACGCCCTTGTCCTGCTTGCGGCTCCCGCAGGACTAAGCTCTGCTCCCCGCGCGCGGCTCACCCAGGTCCCAGTCGCTTTCAGCCGCGCGCTCACACGTTTTCCTGTCGCCTGCCCCCGTTCTGTTCGCGCGTGCTGCGCTCTCCAGCCACCCTGACGCCTGCCCGGGATGAGTTTCCTCCCCACTTTGCCGCGGCCCCGCCGACCGACCGCTTCACTGCCGCCTTCCTGCATTCTCGCAGACTACGTTGCGGCGTCCCCTGCTCCCGCCCTGAGGACGTCGCTTTTCTGGCACTTTCATCCTATGCATTCTGTTGAGTCTGCTCACTGTCTCACACTGTGAGGATTGGGACAGTGTCTTATCACTTTCATAACAGCGTCTGGCACTTGCTGAAGGAACACATGAATGGCGGTCTTGTCGCTGTCAAAGTCTTTGGAGTTTTTCAGTGTACTGTTTTTGATATGGGGTTTGGGAATTTAGGTGGCTTTACTGTATTTGGGATATTTGAGGGGAAAATGAGCTAGAGGCGTTAAAATGCTTTCTTCTGATGGAACAACAAAATTCTTATGAAGGACCTTTCCCTGTCAAAATCAGAGCAAATAGTAAAGGATATATACTATTTGGATATAAAGAATGATTATAAAGGATGATTGTTAAGAGAAATAGTGAAAATTAGTGTGGAAAGCTATAACCAGATCAACATTTATGAGCCATCCAACAGAATAAGGGTGTAGCTTTTTTATGTATACAATCTCTAGGATTCACTCTAGAGAGTGTAACTCCTGATATGGACTCCTGGTGCAACATGCTTCTGTGTATGTTTTATATTTTAAAAAATCTATATATATTTAAAATCTAAATATATTTTTAAAAATCTCAGTTTTGTTTTAGGAAAGTGTTTTTTCTCAAAATTTAAGCCCAAATGATAAAATCTGCCAAATAGAAAACTATTTTAAATTGATAATAACAGTATAGTTTCATCAAAACTAAAAATACCAGATCTTTTGATGTATTTGTTTCCTAGCAGAGAATTAAGTTTTCACGTTCTTACTGTTGGCCTCCTAGATATCATGTGAGCATGTCTTAAGGAAAAATGCTCTTAATGCCACTGTGGTTTCTACCTTCATGTGCAAATAGAAGAGAGTGGTGGTTTGTAATAGGCCATTCTTTCCAGAGAAAAGTTCATGTGTATTTCTGTATATGCAGCATCCTCCTTATTATGTTTGGATGTAAAGATTTATTATTCTCTCTGATGTTTTCATATTTTTTAAATTTACAATATAATAAAGAGGTACAGAGTTCTAAATCAATAAAAGATGGGCTATAAAATGGAGGAGTAAAGTTGATATATGAACCATCATTGTCAACATTTTAGATTTGATTTTAACTGTAAAAAGCACAAATGATATGCATCATAAAACAGCCTTAAACTGAATGTCCACTTGGTGTGTTGCACTTTACCAGGCACTTAAAATATCAGTCCTGTCACATAGCAACAGAAACCCACAGTGGCACGTTTAAAAATGGGTAATCAACGTATTGATTTTGATGGAGCTTTTTCAGAAATAACTGCTATTTTAATTTAACTTATAAATAGAATACAATATCAAGTTCAAATTAAGGGAGGAAATCATGCTGTAAATATACTGGATTGAAAAACATGGTTCTGGCCAGGCATGGTGGCTCATGCTTGTAATTCCAGCACTTTGGGAGGCTGAGGTGGTTGGATCACTTAAGGTCAGGAGTTCGAGACCAGACTGGCCAACATGGTGAAACCCCATCTCTACTGAAAATACAAAAATTAGCCCGCATGGTGGCATGTGCCTGTAATCCCAGCTACTAGCTACTCAGGAGGCTGAGGCAGGAGAATCACTTGAACCTGGGAGGCGGAGGTTGCAGTGAGCCGAGATGGCGCTACTGCACTCCAGCCTGGGTGACAGAGTAAGACTCCATCTCAAAAAAAAAAAAAAAGAAAAAGAAAAAAAAGAAAAACATGGTTCTAATACTGTCACTTAACACCTTTTCAGTTTTGAATAAATCACCTAACTTTTTGGTCTTTAGTTTCTATAAGAGGACATTTTTATTTTAATGATCTCTGGCATTTTTATGGCAATAAAAATGTGTGAATTCAAAGGACATACTGTCTGAGCAACATAGTGAGACCTAGTTTCTACTAAAAATAAAATTAAAAAAATGACCAGCTGTGGTGGCGTGCACTGGAAGGATTGCTTGAGCCTGGGAGGTCAGGGATGCAGTGAGCTGTGATCACACCACCACACTCCAGCCTGGGTGACAGAGCGAGACCCTGTCTCAACAAAAAGGGGTGATGTAAATTTTAAAATTCATGTAAGGAAAACATGACCAAATATACAATATCCACGTGAGGAAAAAATAGTTTGCAGGAATTTTTTTAAAAACCAGTGGTGGCTGGGCATGGTGGCACACACCTGTAGTCCATCTACTTGGGAGGCTGAGGTGGGAGAATCGTTTGAGCCCAGGAGGTTGAGGCTGCAGTGAACCATGATCATGCCACCTCACTCCAGGCTGGGCAACAGACTAAGACCCTGTCGCCAATAATAATAATAAGAATAGTTATTTCATGTCACAACTATGAAGTATTTTAATCAGGATGATACTATCCAATTATTTTCCATGTGGAATTAAATTTATTTCAGCAACAATTAATTGGACATCTATTTGGGAGGTGCTTTGAGCTTGTATATAAATGAATACAGTGTCTCACAGACAGTATAGTGGTTTCAAATATGTACAAAGACAAAGTTGCATTCCTTGAAAGAAAATAGAAAACAAAAAACAAAGGAAGAATATAAATATAAAAAGAATATAAAATAATAAAAACAAAGCCTGGGGAGGGAGATGGAATAAAAGAAGGAGAGAATAGAAAGGAAACTGTGATGATTAATTTTAGATGTCAACTTGACTGGATTAGGAATACCTAGAGAACTGGTAAAACATTATTTTGGGGTATGTCAGTGAGGGTGTTTACAGAGGAGATTGGCATGTGAGTCTGAGTGGACTACAAGGGGAGGATCCGCCCTCAAAGTGGGCAGGCACTATCCAATCAGCTGGGAGCCTGGGTAGAACAAAAACAGTCTCTGTCTTCTGGAACTGGGATACACTCTTCTCCTGGCCGTGGACATCAAAATACCAAGCTCTCTGGCCTTTGGATTCTAGTGCTTAACACCAGCACCCCTGCCATCAGGTCTTCAGACTTGGACTGAACCACACTCCCAGCATACCAGCATCTCCAGCTTGCAAATAGCCTGTTGTGGGACTTGTTAGCCTCCATAATCACATGAGCCAATTCCCCTAATAAAGCCCCCCTCATGTGTCTATATATCCTATTAGTTCTTTTTGCCTCATATCTAAAAATAGTTCAAATTCTAAGACTACTTCTTCATTTCAGTTTATATTTACTCTTTTTAAAGGTAATAAGCATTCATTTTAACAATTTAAATAACACAGAAGTATGTAAAATATACTCAGAAGTAAATAAAGAAAAAGACTGTTTTCTTCTCCGTATCCCAGTCCTAGACAAAACCAATGTTAAAGATTGAAGTTTCTCTCAATACTTATTCTAATGTTTTAAAACACTTGGAAGTTTTCATTTGTATATTTACAAATAATCACGCCATATATATTTTTCTTCAACTCTTTCTAACTCAGCAGTTAATTATAAATAGCTCATTCTTTCAACTAGCTGCATAATATTATGTAGAATTAATGTACCATAATTTTTTTTTTTTTTTGAGACAGGGAGAACTCTCTTTGGAGAACCCTAATATAGGAACCAAAGACAATTTCATTAAAGAAGTGGTAACCCAAACCAAATACAGACAGGTATTATTCCAAATTTGAAGACTCTAGTACACTCTCAGGTTGGTCTTCCATCCCCGACACCACCTCTTCTACATGTTTATCACTCCCCTGAAGTCTCAACCTCACAGCCACTGCTGCTGAGCCCCTTAACCCTGAACCCAGCAAAGGATCTCACCACAGTCATTATAAGAGAGAAACTCCTCAACTTCTTTCCCTCTACCGACAAAGTCTATCTAGAACTGTGTACATCCATGACTACTTGTCTTCCTCTATCACAGAGGAAGAACTATCTAGTCTCTTGTTTAACCCATTCATGCCTGAGGTTGCAATTTTTTTTATTTTTTGAGACGGAGTCTCGCTCTCGCCCAGGCTGGAGTGCAGTGGAGTGATCTCGGCTCACTGCAAGCTCCGCCTCCCGGGTTCACGCCATTCTCCTCCCTCAGCCTCCAGAGTAGCTAGGACTACAGGCGCCCGCCACCACGCCCGGCTAATTTTTTGTATTTTTAGTACAGACGGGGTTTCACCGTGTTGGCCAGGGTGGTCTCGATCTCCTGACTTCGTGATCTGCCTGCCTCGGCCCCCCAAAGTGCTGGGATTACAGGCGTGAGCCACCGCGCAAGGCCACAATTTTTTGAATTTTTGCAATCAGACCTCGGCGATGATCTTGAGCAGTAGGATATAAATAACTCCCACATGCTTAGCGTTCCAATAATGGAACACTAGGCATGGCTTAGCTTTCTACTTGTGCTGCAGATCTGTTTTTTTCAGACTTTGATTTATAGACCATTCACATTTCTAACAATTTGAAAACAGATATAGGGCTGGTAACTTTTTAATCTTGACAAATAACTATATATTTGTAAAGTCCTTCCATATTTGTCACCATGATTTCTTAAGTACATTTTCAAGCCAAAAAAAACTAAATTTTATGAAATACTATTCTGTTTGTTTACATTTCCCTGTGGAACAGTGAAGCCATCACAGCCCTTGTACATTGGGGCTCTGCTCTGAAACAGCTCCCTTCTGTCCCCTCAGGATGTGGCTCCGTGAGTTAGTTGGTCTTCGATAGGTTTAATGTCTCCTTTACTAAAGACTAACTTATGTCTCTTTGCTCCAGGTTTAAACACAATTTAAATTCTAAGACTACTTCTTCATTTCAGTTTCTATTTACTCTTTTTAAAAGGTAATAAGCATGCATTTTAACAATTCTAACAACACAGAACTGTATAGAATATATTCAGAAGTATATAAAGAAAAAGATCATTTTCTTCTCCCTATCCCAGTCCTAGACAAAACCAATGTTAAAAGATTGACCTTTCTTTCAATGCTTTTTCTAATGTGTTTTAGAAACACATAGGAGGTTTTTATTTTTATTTTTACAAGCAATCACACTATGTATGTTTTTCGGCAAATTTTCTAACTCAACAGTTAATTATAAATATTTAGCTTATTTAGCTCATTCTTTTAACTAGCTGCATAATATTATGTAGTATTAATGTACCATATATATATATTTTTTTGAGATCTTTCTCTATCATCACCCAGGAATGATGATAGCTGACTGCAGCCTTGAATTCCTGGACTCAAGTGATCCTTCTGCCTCAGCTTTGCCAGTAGTTGGCACTACAGGCATGAGCTACCATGCCTGGCTAATTTTTTCTTTTTTAACTTTTGGTAGAAACAGGGTCTTGCTATGTTGCCCAGGCTGGTGTCCAGCTCCTGGCCTCAAGTGATCCTCCTGCCTTAGCTTCCCAAAGCACTAGGATTACAGATGTGAGCCACCACACTTGGCCTGTTGTACCATAATTTTTGAAACTATTTCTGTATTGATAAATAATACAGATTTCTCCAGATTTTATGTCATTACAAGTGATGCTGGAATAAATATCCTTATATGTATATCTTTTTTAAATTATGCATTTTTGTGTAGAATTGATCCTAAAAGTGAGATTGTCAAAACCATAGATACGTGCCTTTAAAAATACATTTTAATAGATACTGCCTGCAGAGGGTTGTGGGATTTTATGTTTTGTTGGGATTTTTTTGGTAACAGTTTTCAGATGAATTAGTCTTCTTCCTCTCTTAATCTGTGGGTTACCAATGGAATTGGGTCCTCCGTTGGCTTCTACATTGGACTTCAACTCAGGACTGGCTAACAAGAATGTAGTACCCCACTAGTTTTAATGTTCTGTAGTTCAGGGATAGGTACATGAATCAATTCAAGCCAAGCAGAATTACATCGAAGACTTTTGTTCTATGCTGGGCTTGTCGATGTGAATATGTAAGCTCCCTTCACAAAGAGAGACCCTTACTGAGAATGACTTCTCCTCAGAGAACAAAAGTAGACATGAAAAGAGACTAGGTTCTAATGATACCATTTAGGTAACCTAAATACAGCTGTGTCTGGACTTTCAATTATGTGACTTAATAAGTAACTTTTTTGAGTTGGGTTTGCTGTTACTTGTGACCAATGCTGTTATGACTGACACACTGCCAGATTACCTCTACCTCTAGAATTATTTTAGTTCATTTTCCAATCTAAATGTAGAAGAAACCCATTTCCCACACCCTTGCCAGGACTAACGCATGAATCTTAAATTTTTGTCAGTCTGATAGGCATTAAATGCTATTTCACTGTTGTTTCAATTCGCTTTTTGCTGACTGCTAGTGCGGTTGATTTCTTTTCGTATATTTTTGGACTGTTCATAGTCGTTGTATTTTTGTGTTGAGTTTTCATCCTTTTCTGATCTGTCTATATGATCCCTTGTGTATTACAACTCTTAACTCCTGGCATTCCATATGTGCAGGTACTATTTTTTTTTTCATAATCATCTTTGGACTTTGCTCATGGTAGCTTTTGTCATAAGAAGGTTTTAATTTTTATATTGTCAAGTCTGACCTGGAAAAAGTCACTGTGACCTCATACATGCCAAATACAGTGAACTCTTTTTTTGTTTTGTTTTGTATTGTTTTTTTGTTTTTTGAAAAGGAGTCTCGCTCTGTCACCCATGCTGGAGTGCAGTGGCACAATCTTGGCTCACTGCAACCTCCTCTGCCTCCCAGGTTCAAGCAATTCTCCTTGCCTCAGCCTCCCGAGTAGCTGGCACTACAGGCATGCACCACTATGACTGGCTAATTTTTGTACATTTAGTAGAGAAGGGGTTTCACTATTAGTTAGCCAGGCTGGTCTCAAACTCCTGACCTCAGGTGATCCGCCCACCTTGGCCTCCCAAAGTGCTGGAATTACAGGTGTGAGCCACCACACCCGGCCTACAATGAACTCTTTATAGTCCTCAACAAGCAATTATCTCATATTGAGTACCTACTGTGTACCGGGCTCTACACTAGGCATGTTGTCCTTGCCCTTAAAGAAATTACGGTTTAGTGCAGCAGTCAAGCAGATGAACATAATTAGTATGTAGTTGATGCTGATGTTGGGTTTGTGTTAGGGGCTGAAATATGTCCCCTGAAATTCATGTTTTGAAGTCCTAACTCCCAGTAATGGGAACATAACCATATTGGATATAAGGTCTTTAAAGAGGTGACTGTTTTAAAATGAGCTCTTTAGGGTAGGCCTCAATCCAATATGACTGATGTCCTTATAGGAAGAGGGGATACAGACACAGACATGTGTGCACACAGAAGGAAGACCATAAAAACAGAGACAAGACAGCCATCTACAAGTTAAGTAGAGAGGCCTCTGAAGAAGCAATCCTGCCAGCACCTTGATCTTGGACTTGAAGCCTCTAGAACTGTGAGAAAATAAATTTCTGTTTGTTGAAGCCTCCCAGTCTGTGATTTTTTTTTATGGCAGCCCTAGCAAACCAATAGAGTTTGCCTCCACAACATCCCTTCCATTCTAACCCCTTGTGTAGTAGTCATGTGATTGTCGGCGGGGGCAAAGAATAAAACACAACACCCTCTCCCTCTCCCTCCCCCTCCCCCTCTTCCTCTCCCTCTCCCCTTTCTTGGGTCTCCCTCTGTTGCCGAGTCCCTCTCCCTCTCTCTCCCTCTTCTTTCCTCGGTCTCCCTCTGTTGCCGAGGCTGGACTCTACTGCCGTGATCTCAGCTCGCTGCAACCTCCCTGCCTCGGGCTCCTGTGATTCTCCTGCCTCCACCCGTGGAGTGCCTGGGATTGCAGGCACGCGCCGCCCCGCCTGACTGGTTTTTGTATTTTTGGTGGAGATGGGGTTCTGCCGTGTTGACCAGGCTGGTCTCCAGCTCCTGACCTCGAGTGTTCTGCCCGCCTCGGCCTCCCGAGGTGCCGGGATTGCAGATGGAGTCTCGCTCACTCAATGCTCAATGTTGCCCAGGCTGGAATGCAGTGGCGTGATCTCGGCTCGCTACAACCTCCACCTCCCAGCCGCCTGCCTTGGCCTCCCAAAGTACTAAGATTACAGCCTCTGCCCGGCGGCCACCCCGTCTAGGAAGTGAGGAGCGTCTCTGCCTGGCCGCCCATCGTCTGGGATGTGAGGAGCCCCTCTGCCCGGCCGCCCCATCTGGGAAGTGAGGAGCGCCTATGCCCGGCCTCCCCGTCTGGGAAGTGAGGAGCGCCTCTGCCCGGCCACCCCGTCTGGGATGTGAGGAGCGCCTCTGCCCGGCCGCCCCGTCTGGGATGTGAGGAGCGCCTCTGCCCGGCCGCCCCGTCTGGGATGTGAGGAGCGCCTCTGCCCGGCCGCCCCGTCTGGGATGTGAGGAGCGCCTCTGCCTGGCCGCCACCCCCTCTGGGAGCCGCCCCGTCTGGGAAGTGAGCATCTCTGCCCAGGTGCCCCGTCTGGGAAGTGGGGAGCACCTCTGCCTGGCCGCCCCATCTGGGAAGTGAGGAGCGCCTCTGCCCAGCCATCCATCATCTGGGATGTGAGGAGTGCCTCTGCCCAGCCACCACCCCGTCTAGGAAGTGAGGAGCGCCTCTGTCCGGCCGCCCCGTCTGGGATGTGTACCCAACAGCTCCAAAGAGACAGCGACCATCGAGAACGGGCCATGATGACGATGGTGGTTTTGTCGAAAAGAAAAGGGAGAAATGTGGGGAAAAGAAAGAGAGATCAAATTGTTACTGTGTCTGTGTAGAAAGAAGCAGACATAGGAGACTCCATTTTGTTCTGTACTAAGAAAAATTCTTCTGCCTTGGGATGCTGTTAATCTATAACCTTACCCCCAACCCCATGCTCTCTGAAACATGTGCTGTGTCAACTCAGGGTTAAATGGATTAAGGGCAGTGCAAGATGTGCTTTGTTAAACAGATGCTTGAAGGCAGCATGCTCGTTAAGAGTCATCACCACTCCCTAATCTCAAGTACCCAGGGACACAAACACTGTGGAAGGCTGCAGGGACCTCTGCCTAGGAAAACCAGAGATTTTTGTTCACGTGTTTATCTGCTGACCTTCTCTCCACTATTATCCTATGACCCTGCCACATCCCCCTCTCCGAGAAACACCCAAGAATGATCAATAAATACTTAAAAAAAAACAAAAACAAAAAAAACACAACACCAATTCCAGGAATCAGCCCTGACTATTTTAGATCATTCAAGGTAATCCTATACTTCTTGCTACAGTGGGTAGTTTAGGAAACGCAAGCATTCCTTTAGCCAATTTGTGTCAGTAACACTTGAAGAGCTGGTGACTGAGAAAGACTTCCTTGTTCTTCAGATAAAGCTACTAAAAGTGTGCTCTCTTCCTGTTTGGATGATGAGAGGTGAGAATTTAAACCTGGAATTACTGTAGCTACTCTGTTATCATAAACTAGTCTAGCTTTGGAATAATGCTGCCTCTGTGGAAGGCCCAGAAGGGAGGTGGAACAAAACTAGTTTCTTGTTGAAATTAGTAAGCCACTGATCAAATAAATCCTGATACCTGCCTAGTTATGTAAGCCAATAAGTCCCCTTCATTATTTAAGCAATTTTGATTTTTTAAAAATTTACAATACTAAGGGTCTTCGCAGTTAAGGGATATGTGGGGAAAGGAAACTGTCACAGGTCAAATTCCCTGGGAAACACTTTAAGATAAAGATTAGAGTGCAGAAATGTCATTGGTGGGTGCTCTTAGAATCCGCCTGTAGAGAGAGTAAAGAAAGCAGGCTTAGGCAAAGGAAGAAGTTGACCTGCAGTGAAGTCCAACAGAGGCCTCAGCCATTCCTACAGGGAACTCTGAAGACTTTATGCCATCTCATTGACCAATCATTTTGGCTGTACCCAGAAATGTGAGGAGGCCCTCTTCAGCAGAGGGTAAGTGATAGTGAAGGATTCAGTTGAGAGTTGTCAGCCTCAAACACTTTCAGCATCTGGTGGAATGACTGCTTCATTCCTGGATTGGGGGAAATCTACAGTACACCATGCATGATATCCACTACTGTCTACCTCTATGAATATAAGATCTAGGAGCAGCTCTTCCAAAATTCTGTGGGGCTTCCAAGAAACTGGAGAAACTTACTAGAAGAAGGAGGTTGGTGGGATTAATTACAGCCTCGAAAGCTGCTCCTGGGGTCATAATTGGTGCTGATCATTTCCTTCTTCCACTACCTATTCTAGAGTCCCCTCACTCTCTGCTGGTCTAGGTAGCTGCTATGGACTGAATGTTTGGGTATCCCCAGAATTTGTATGTTGAAACTAGTCACCAATGTGATAGTATTAGGAGGTGGGTGATTTGGAAGTGATTAGGTCATGAAGACAGAGTCCTCAAGAATGGAATTAGTGCCTTTATAAAAGAGGTCCCAGACAGCTGCCTTGCCTCTTCCACCACGTGAAGACACAGCAAGAAGGCACCAGGAAGTGGGCCCTCACTAAACACTAAATTTGCTTGTACCTTGATCTTGGATTTTACAGGTTACAGAACTACAAGAAATAATTCTGTTGTTATAGGTCATGTAATTTGTGATATTTATTATACCAGCCCAAACACACTAAGACAGTAGCTTACCTAGTGGAATAACTCAAACCCTCTTCAGTGAGGGGGCCAAGTCCTTCATCACCAAATTCTTCCCAGGTTGTAGCTGCTGCACTTTTCCATGGACCATGTAAATTGGGCAAGCAAAAACCAAGAGAAAAACAAATGGGTCACTTGGGTATCAAACATATTATTTCCTATCCCTTTTGTGGAACAGCTGCCCTACTGAAATCAGAATCAATTACCGTTGCCAGAATGGTGACTCCTTTCCTTGTTTCTTGGAATGAGAAGACTAAAATGACCAGGCAGCAGCTAGAGTTTAATGGGACTCTTCCTGTGTCTGCTAGTGGAAACATTTTCTCTCTCGTAGCCAAAATCTCTAACTTACGGAGAAAGAAGGTACGACTTCCCTAAACAAATCCCTGGGAATCATAATATATGGAGATATTCCTATTTGCACTCTTTAGCTCCCGGATTCTTGTATTCTTACTTTTGAGAATATCAATTTAGAGTGTACACTGAGTCCTGGGGTATGATGCCTCCTCACAGGGTATCCTTTGCAAGCTAGCACCCCAGCTGAAACTTTAACAGGTCATCCCAATGCTCAATCAGTACAGTTTCAAGGTGGTGTAGTATATTGTAGGACCAGTGGAACCCATGGTCCTGTGCCCACTGCTGCACCAAATCTTAGGTCAGTGGATCAAACAATTTAAGCCCTCAGTGGTACTACCTGAGACCCTTCAGGCAGGAGATCCAACTTGGAATATGTTTAAGTTCCAATAAAGATAAATTGATACTACTTCCAGGATGGAATGAGTCCTGTGTAGACAACTTGCCACCAAGTAGCTGGTAAGTCTGCTGAAGGAATGGTGCTGCATTGGGGGCCAAGCATTGGCCTTGTTGCTGGCAAATTGGACATTTGACAGTGGTGGTAGCTAGATCAGCCTTGTTAATTGGGAACCATGCTATTAGGCCCATGTATAACCTCCATCTCTGCACCTGTGGCTACCCTTGTCATGTGCCTATTGGGCCAATACTAGTGTAGCCAATGGCAGAGACTGGCTGATGTCATCTGGCCAGGGCATTGTTCCTTATGGTTGTCTAGTGCTTATTCTGTGATGGATTCTCTCTGTTGCCTATTAACACATGAAGCAAAGATCTTCACATTTCATATCCATTTTATAGGGTCATCCACATGCCTCTTTCCCAGAACTCTTTATCCCCAATCTTTGTCTTTCCAGCCCCTGACCAAACAGTAAGCCTTTTGCTAGTGCCCATAAATTAATGTATAAGTTTACTTTGAGCTACAAACCAAAGCTCTGCCCACTTAGAGATATTCCCCTCACTACTGTCTTTCAGGACACTCCTAAGTGATTGCCTGTGGCACTTGCACATCAGGACTGTCACCTTTGGGTCCCCCCAAAAACTAGGGCAGCAATGGAAAAAGGGCAGGCTAGGCCAAGAGTGAGGAATAAACAGTCTTTATTGGCTTTGGACTAGGAGTCCTTGGGTCTTGAGTATCTCTGTGTATTTGTCGATATTCTTCAGATTCTTCTCAGCCTGTTTCTGCAGCCTCATAAACTGCTCCTTCTCCCTTTGCCCCTCCCCATTCTTTCTCCTAATGGATCTTGACCTTCTCCTTCCTCTTCTCCTCCAGAATGGCTGTCACTGGTTGGTACTTCCAGGCAAATTTATGAACCAGGTGCCCCAGGTAGGCAAACTTCAGTGTGGGCTTCAGGTGCACAACCTTGAGTAGAGTAGAAATCACCATCCACTTTTGCAAAGGGCAGGGCACAGGGGGTGTGGATCCCATCAAATACCTTGAGGTGGTCCAGGTGGCCAGGCCTCACTTGGTTTTATGGGGCAATATACCACTCATGGTTCAGCCAAAAGATGCAGTTAGGTGCCCGAAAGTAGAAGAGACCCAGAAGTGGTAGGGTCTAAAGACAGAGTTGGTGCTCCTGGTCTTGTGGAAGGTTAGATACTGAAACTTGTTCCTGTAGAAGTTGACAAAAATGCTGATGTCCTTGCAGTGCAGGACCTCCAGCTTCCTGCCCAGCAGTACTTGCTTGGCCATTATGACCACCAGGCAACTCAGGAGAGGCCTAGGCCATCGATCACCAGAACCTGCCCCTTCAACATCTTCAACAGCCACTTGGAAAAGGCCAGGAACTATTTTACCAAAGGGATTTAAGTCTGCACTGCAGATGGCATGACCTTGCTTCATAACCATAGAGATCTGTGTTGTGATTCTTCGAATGGGATTTGATGTAAACTTTTTTATTTTTACAAAGGCAAGGAAATTCAAACATTGAAATGCTTAAGAAAATAAAAATCTTTCCAAATCCTATAACTGGAGACAATTTGTCGATTCATCAATATCCTAGTGAGCATTATTTTAAACCTTTTACTATATATTTATACAAATAGAACTACGTCTGTAATTTATTTTTTATTTATTATTTACTCTGTTTATAGAGACAGGGTCTTGCTCTGTCACCCAGGCAGGAGTGCCATGGCAGAATCAAACTCACTGCAGCCTCCAACTCGTGGGATCAAATGACCCTCCCACCTCAGCCTCCCCAGTAGCTGGGACTATAGGCACACCACCACATCTGGTTGTTTTTTGTTTGTTTGTTTGTTTTTTGTAGAGATGGTATCGCTGTGTTTCCCAAGCTGACCTTAAACTCCTGGTGTCAATCCTCCCTCCTCAGCCTCCCAAGGTGCTTTGGTTATAGGCATGAGCTACTGAACCCATCCAAATTGCTGCTTTTTGATTAAACACTATTTTTATATAACATAAATTAACCAGTTTGCTATAGATAATTCTTAATTGAGTGGTACTGCCCTCTAGAGTATGTTTTGTGTCTCGACTATTTACATGATGAAATACATATTTTGTTATAAATTACTGCTTTTTTCACATTACAGTTAGTATATTTTGTTGTATGTACCTATGACTTTCATTTCAGGACTGTAAGGGAGTGTTACAAAGTATTTATTATAAAAAGGGCATGAAGTCAGCTGGGATTGAGAAGCACTGCTTGTAGATGGACACAGAGTATCTTCAATTTTCAATACTAAAAATATTCTGATGAACATCTTTGTATATTCATGTTTTGCAGTGGGTTTGTTAGGCCAAATGGTACACATGTGCAGAAATTTGGCACATTGTACCAATTCACCTATATACCAACAGGGCATGAGAGTGCCAGTTTCCTCATATATTCACCAACAATAATGTTGCCATGGTTTGGATGTGATTATTTTGCCAAAACTCATATTGAAATTTGATCCCTGATGTGGCAGCAGTATTCAGAGGTGGGACCTACTTGGGGATGTTTGGGTTACGGGGACACCACTGTCATGAATGCCTTCCGGCTGCAATGAGTTCTTCCTTTCTCAGGAATGGATTATTTTACATCAGAGAGAGCAGCTTGCTAAATAGTGCCTGGGTTCCTTGGATTCTCTCTCTTGCTTCCTCTCTCACCATGTGGCCTCTTTGCATACACCTCCCCCACCTTCCACTCTCTACCATGAGTGTAAGGAAGCAGTACAAGACCCTCTCTAGATATAGCTGCCCAATCTTGCACTTTCCAGCCACCAGGATCATGAACCAAACAAATCTATTTTCTGTATAAATTATCCAGCGTCAGGTATTCCATTACAGCAACACTAAGTGGACTGTGACAAATGTAGTCCTCTTGCATATGCCAGTCACTCTTCCCTTAAAAACTAGTTAAGATTTTCTTAAAATTTCTATTCTGTGTCTTGGGGTAGAGTCCTTCAAGTGATTCTGAAAGTTCCAGGATTTTACTTTATTTCTAGTAATTCCTGGGTTTAATTTCTGACTTTAATTGATTTCTCTTTTCCATTTTTTAAAAATAACAGCTATACTGGGATATACTTCATACACTACACAATTCACATATTTAAAGTGTACACTTCAGTGGTTTTTAGAGACATGCACAGAGACATGCAACTGTTACTACGATCAATTTTAGAACATGTTTTTCTTTTCTTTTCTTTTCTTTTCTTTTTGTTTTTTGAGACAGGGTCTCACTCATTTGCCCAGGCTGGAGTGCAGTGGCCAGTCTCGGCTCACTGCAACCTCCACCTCCCAGGCTCAAGTGATCCTCCCACCTCAACTGCCCAAGTAGCTGGGACTACAGGTTCACAGCACCATGCCCAGCTAATTTTTGTGTTTTTGGTAGAGATGAAGTTTCACCATATTGCCCAAGTTGGTCTCCAACTCCTGGCCTCAAGCAAACCACTGACCTCAACCTCCCAAAGTGTTGGGATAACAGGCGTGGGCCACTGTGCCCTGCCGCAATATTTTTTTCATCACCCTCTAAAACCCCATATACCTCAGCAGTCACTCCCTATTTTCTCATAACCCCCCAGTCCTAGGCAACCACTAATCTACTTTTTGGGTGGATTTACCCTTTCTGGATATTATATAAAAATAGAATAGTCAAGTATGGGGGCTTTTGCCACTGGCTTCTTTTACTTAGCATAATGTTTTCAGGATTTATTCATCTTACAGTATGTAGTAGTACTTCTTTTCTATTGTTGAATAATAGTCTGTTGTATATACATATCACATTTTATTTATCCACTCATCAGTTAATGAACATTTGGGTTGTATCTACATTTTGGCTATTATGAATAATGCTGTTATGAACATTCTTGTACAAGTTTTTGTGTAGACATATGTTTTCATTTCTCTTGGGTATATATCTAGGAGTGAAATGTCATATGGTAACTCTATGTCTAACCTTTTGAGGAACTGCCAAACTGCTTTTCCAAAGCAGCTGCACCATTTGACATTCCCACCAGCAGTGCATGAGAGTTCCAGTTTCCTCATGCCCTCAACATTGCTTGCAATAGTCTGTGTTGTTGGTTATTGCTATTCTGTTGAGTGTGGATTGGTATCTCATTGTGGTTTTAATTTGCCTTTCCCTGATAGCTAATGATGCTGAACATCTTTTCATGTGCTTGTTGGTCATTTGTGTATCTTCTTTGAATGTCACTTAGATCATTTGCCCACTTTTAATTGAGCTATTTGGTTTTTTATTATTGAGTTGTAATAATTCTTAACATATTGTAGATACAAGTCTCTTATTAGATATGTGTTTGCAAGTATTTTCTCCCATTCTATGGATTGTCTTCATTTTCTTGATGGTATCCTTTGCAACACAAATGTTTTTAATTTTCATGATGCCCAATTTATCCTTTTTTTCTTCCCTTGAGTGTGCTTTGGTGTCATATCTAAGAAACTATTGTCTCATCTAATGTCACAAAGAGTTATGCCTATGTTTTCTTCCAAGAATTTAGCAGTTTTAGTTCATACAGTTAGGCCTTTGATCCATTGATTTTTGCCTATGTATATGCATAAATTTTCTGTACATGCAATTTTATTATTTTGCTTCTGGATATGCAGTTGTACCAGCATCATTTGCTGGAAAGATTATCCTTTCCCCATTGAATTGTCATGACACCCTTTTCAAAAACCAATTGACCATGAATTTGAGAGTTTATTTCTAGACACTTAATTCTCTTCCATTGATCTATATGTCTATCTTTAATGCCAGTACCTTACCATTTTGGCTACTGTAGTTTTGTAGTAAATTTTGGAATTGGGAAGTGTGAGTCTTTCAACTTTGCTCTTTTTTTTCAAGGTTGTTTTTCCTATTCTAAAGCAAATTCAAACTTATTCTAAAGGAAATTCAAGAGAATTTCCATATAAATTTTAGGGTCAGCTTGTCAATTTCTGTAAAAAATTTAACTGGGATTTTTACAACGATAGGTTGAATCTGTAGATCAGTTGAGAAGTATTGCCATTTTAACAGTATTAAGTCTTTCAATCCAGCACATGGAATGCCTTTTCATTTATTTAATTCTTCTTTAATTTATTTTAATAATGTTTTATAGTTTTTAGGATATAGGTTTTACAGTTTTTTGGTTTAATTTATTCCCAACTATTTTATACGTTTTGATGCTATTGCATCAGTTTTCTTACTTTTATTTTCAGATTGTTCATTGCAGCATATAGAAATATAACTAATTTTCATATATCAATCTTGTAGCCTGAAACCTTGCTGAACTTATTTATTAGTTTGTAATGATGTTTTAGTGGATTCCTTAGGATTTTCTATATACAAGTTTGTGTCATCTACAACTATAGTTTTACTTCTTTCTTTCCAATCTGAATGCCTTTTACTTCTTTTTCTTGCCCAATTGCCCTTTCTACAACCTCCAATGCAATGTTGAATAAAAGTGGTGAGAACAGACATTCTTTTCATTTATTGATCTTAGGAGGAAAGCTTTCAGTCTTTCATCATTAATTATGTTAGTTGTGGCTTTTCGTAGATATCTTTTTTTTTTTCTTTTTTGAGACAGGGTCTCACTCTGTCACTTAGGCCGGAGTGTAGTGAGTGGTCCAATCTTGGCTCACGGCAGCCTCAACCTCCCGGGCTCAAGCAATCCTCCTACTTTAGCCTCTGGAGTATCTGGGACCACAGGTGTGTGCCAGCATGCCTGGTGTTTTTTTTTTTTTTTTTTTTTTTTTTTTTTTGATAGAGAAGAGGTCTCACTATGTTGCCTAGGCTTGTCTTGAACTCCTGGGCTCAAGCAATCCTCCCACCTTGGCCTCTTAAAGTGTGGAGATTACAGGAGTGAGCCACCATGCCCACGCCTGTAATCTTAACACTTTAGGTGGTTGAGGAGGGAGAAGTCGGAAGGAGATGCCTGATGAAAGACATATCTTTTATCAGGTTGAAGAAGTTCCTTTGTATTCTTAGTTTGTTGAATGTTTTCATCCTGAAGGGATTTTGTCAAATGCTCTTTCTGCGTGTATTGATATAATTATGTCATTTTTGTTCCTTATCCTAATGATATGGTATATTAAATTAATTAATTTTCTAATATTAGCCAGCTTGCATTTTAGGGATAAATCCTACTTAGTCATGGTGTATAATTCTTTTTATGTGTTTCTGGATTCCATTTGCTAGTTCTCTTCTGTACTTTGCAATTGATTCTTTGTCAATGTCCAGATATTAGGCCAAATGGGGGGTATGTCCACTTCCTGATATTTCCCCAGATAAGACTGTTTTGGTCATTTTTCACTCATTCTGGTGCCTGGAAATGGAACTCTTTATGAGTCTTGCTAGGGGGAAAAGTCAATTTCTTACTGTAAGAATTAAAACAAATTTTTATTACTATATGAGTTTAATATTATTTCTTACTATAAGAATTAAAAGCTAGGCATGGTGGCTCATGCCTATAGCTGGGAGGCCAAGATGGGCAGATCGCTTGAGCCCAGGAGTTCAAGACCAGCCTGGGTAACATGGTGAAATCCTGTCTCAAAAAAAAAAAAAGAAAAGTCAGGTGTGGTGGTTTGTGCCTGTAGTCCCAGCTACAGAGGAGGCTGAGGAGGCAGGATTACTTGAGCCCAGGAGTTGGAGCTTGTAGTGAGCTGTGATCACACCACTGCACGGCACTCCAGCCTGGGCAACACAGCAAGAACCTATCTCAAAAAAAAAAAAATAGAATTTAAAAAAATTTACTTTTGCAATCTTCCTTGGTGCTAGGGAAGAGGCATATGATCATTCAGACACACGTTAATTAATATTTAATTTGGGAGTGAATGACACCTAAAGTAAGGTCTTTCTCTCTTTCTACAGCGATACTGTTAGAATAGCAGAATCAGGCTTGAGGCATGATTTAGGGTGTTTTTCTCAGCTATTTAGTCTCAACCCTAGTTCTCTAGTTCTCTTAGTAATTCATGGCACTGCCCAGTTTTTTTTACTTTTATTTTTCTTTTTGATCACCATGAACAAACAATTTCCTTTTAGTAAGTCCCGTATTGCTTAATTCAGCCAGGGTCCACTTTTATTAAGAGCAACTAGTAGCCTTGTCAGATAAAACACTCACACATGGCATTGTTGTTAGTTGCCTTATACTAATAATTCAGGAGATGATGTCAGAGATTACATCAATGAAGAACCATACAGAAAATAATTTAATATCAAATATTTGACTTTCATTTTTAAAAGAATAGCATTGTCCATTTCTCCCAACATGGCCCCAGCCTTCCACAAGGTGCTTTACTCCATTCTCTTTACATTTTCTTCTCCCGGCTCCATCCCTAAATCCTTGATCATTTCTTAAGTAGAGGAGTTTATCTTACTCTTTTTTCTTGCCAATCCCAAGTAAGTTTTAAAGAACTTTTCACAAATAAAAGCACCTCTTTTCCTAAAACAAAATGGTTCCCCTTTTGTTTCATTCCACCTGATATGGTTTGGCTCTGTGGTCCCACCCAAATCTCATCTCAAATTGTAATCCTCACATGTCAAGGGAGGGAATTGTAATCTCCACGTGTTGACCGAGGGAGGTGATTGGATCATGGGGCAGTTTCCCCTATGCTGTTCTTGTAATAGTGAGTTCTCATGAGATCTGATCGTTTTGTTTTTTTTTTTTCTTTTTGAGATGGAGTCTCGCTCTGTGCCCAGGCTGGAGTGTAGTGGCACGATCTCTGCTCACTGCAAGCTCCGCTTCCCGGGTTCACACCATTCTCCTGCCTCAGCCTCCGGAGTAGCTGGGACTACAGGCGCCTGCCACCACGACTGGCTAATTTTTTTGTATTTTTAGTAGAGACGGGGTTTCACCGTGTTAGCCAGGATGGTCTCGATCTCCTGACCTCGTGATCCTCCTGCCTCGGCCTCCCAAAGTGCTGGGATTACAGGCGTGAGCCACCGCGCCCAGCCAATGTGATGGTTTTATAAGGCGGTTTTCCCTGCTGTTGCTGGCTTTCTCTCACCCGCTGCTATGTAAGATGTGTCTCTTCCCCTTCTGCCATAATTGTAAGTTTCCTGAGGCCTCCCCAGTCATGCAGAACTGTGAGTCAATTAAACCTCTTTCCTTTATAATTTACCCAGTTTCGGGTATTTCTTTATAGCAGTGTGTGAACAGACCACCACATTAGAATTGCATGTTGCTTTGTCATTGCCAATCTGACAGGTAACAAAAGATATCACACTTATACAAACTCACATTTGTTGCATTTATTGTTGTTGTTTTGGGACAGAGCCTCACTCTGTCACCCAAGCTGGAGTGCAGTGGCCTGATCTCAGCTCACTGCAACCTCTGCTTTCTGGGCTCAAGCAATTCTCCTGCCTCAGCCTCCCGAGTAGCTGGGATTACAGGTGTCCACCACCATGCTTGGCTAATTTTTTTTTATTTTTAGTATAGACGGGGTTTCACCATGTTGACCAGGCTGGTTTCAAACTCCTGACCTCAGGTGATCTGCCCGCCTCAGCCTCCCAAAATGCTGGGATTACAGGCATGTGCCACTGTGCCCAGCCTATTGCATATTTTTAAATTAGAGACTAAGATTTCTTCTTTTCTGAATTGTCTGTTATTTTAACTATTTTTCCATGTTGGAATATTAGTCTTTTTCTTATTCTTTTGTAGATTCTTTTAAGCTCTTCATATACAGGGAATATTAGTACATAGCATAAATATTGCAAATAGTTTTCCAGGTTGTTATTTGGCATTTGACATTGTTTATGATGAAGTTTTGCTTATTTTCCTAAAAACCAAAACAGAATTTTTGGTTTTGTTTCTAAGAAATAAAAGCTTTCAAGCTTTTCCTTTTTGACATCTAGATTTCATGTCATCTTTAGAAAAGCTGCCCCCACTGCCTTTGGCACAAAAATCATATAACTGTTTATGTGTCTTTTTTCTCCACCTGTAATTCATTAAAAATTAGAAAACTGATGTCCAGATTGATAATACGACTTGCCCAAGGTCTTACAACTAATTAAAGGAAATAGGCTACAGAAAAGATGGTGCTCCTACTGAAAGCAGTAATGCATAATTAGTGGTACACTTCTTAATTAAAAATTTTAATGTTAAGTGAGTTTTTTACCCTTTAAAAATTATGGCTATTTTCTGGAAGCTTTTTTAGGAAATAAAAGGAAATACTCTCTTAAACAGTGATAATTCAAAAGACACATTGGGACTTATTACACAAATGAATATTCAGAGTCATAATTTTCTTTATTAAAACATATGGGAGACCAAGCACAGTGGCTCACACCTATAATCCCAGCACTTTGGGAGGCTTAGGCAGGAGGATTGCTTGAGGCCAGGAGTTCAAGACCACCCTGGGCAACATAGTGGGACCCTGTCTCCACAAAAAATAAAAATGAAAAAATTTTATTTTAATTTACTTTTTTTTGGTTTCTGTTTTTGTTTTGAGATGGAGTCTCACTTTCTCACCCAGGCTAGGGTGCAATGGTGCAATCTTGGCTCACTGCAACCTCTACCTCCCAGGTTCAAGTGATCCTCCTGCTTTAGCCTCCCAAGTAGCTGGGACTATAGGCATGCACCATTACACCCAACTAATTTTTGTATTTTTAGTACAGACGGGGTTTCACCATGTTGGTCAGGCTGGTCTCGAACCCCTGACCGCAAGTGATCTGCCTGCCTCGGCCTCCCAAAGTTCTGGGATTACAGACGTGAGCCACTGTGCCCGGCCTGATTTCTAGTTTTATTTCATTGTGGACGGAAAAGACTTGTCATATGATGTCTGCTTTTTTCAAATTGTGTAGACTTGTTTCATTACTTGAGATATGGTCTATTCTGCAGAATGTTCCATGTACTGATGAAAAGAATGTATATTCTGCAGCAGCTGGGTAAAATGTTCTGTACATGTCACTTAGGCACTTTGATCTCATGTGCAGTTTAATTTCAATTTTTTTTGTTGATTTTCTGTTTGTATGATTTGACCATTACTGACAATGGGGTGTTAAAACCCCCTACAATAATATTGCAGTCTATCTCTCCCTTTATATCTATTAGTGTTTGCTTTATACTCTTGGGGGCTCCATTGTTGTTTGCATACATATTTATTTATTTATTTTTTGAGATGGAGTTTTGCTCTTGTTGTCCAGGCTGGAGTACAATGGCCCGCTCCTGGCTCACTGCAACCTCTGCCTCCTGTGTTCAAGCAAGTCTCCTGCCTCAGCCTCCCAAGTAGCTGGGATTACAGACATGTACCACTACACCTGGCTAATTTTGTACTTTTAGTAGAAATGGGGTTTCACCATGTTGGTCAAGCTGGTCTCAAACTCCTGACCTCAGGTGATCCTACTGCCTCGGCCTCCCAGAATGCTAGGATTACAGCCGTGAGCCACTGCATCCAGCTGGGTGCATACATATTTATAACTGCTAGTTCCTCTTGCTGTATTGACCCCATTATTATTATATAGTGATCTTCTTTGTCTCTTTTTACAGTCTTTCACGTGTAGTCTATTTTATCTGACATAAATATAGCTACTCCTGCTTTTTCTTGGTTTCCTGTTGCATAGAATATCTTTTTCTATCCTTTCACCTTCAGTTTATGTGTGTCCTTATAGGTGAAGTGGGTTTCTTGCAGGTAGGATAGAGTTGGGTCTTGTTTCTTCATCCATTCAGCAACTGTATGCCTTTTAATTGGAGATTTAAGTCCATTTTACATTGTGTTATTATGGATAAGTAAGGACTTACTATTGCCATTTGTTGCTTGTTTTCTGATTGTTTTGTAACGCCTCTTTTTCCTTCTTCCTTTCTTGCTCCCTTCTTTTGTGGGTAAGTGATTTTCTCTGGTAGTATGTTTTAACTCTTTGCTTTTAATTTTTAGTGAATCTATTAAAGGTTTTTGTATTGTGGTTACCATGAGGCTTACAAAAAACATCTTACAGATATAACAAGTTGTTTAAAAAAGACAGCTTATCTTAGATCAAAAATACAATAATAGAAACAATCAAATATAAAAAATGAAAGCAATACACTTTAGCTCCTTGTATCCCGCATTTTGACTTTTTGTTGTCTCAATTTACATAATTTATATATAATAATTATATTACATTATATATTATGTAACATATAATATATATCATTATGCATATTATATATAATTATTTTTACAAATTTTTACCTCAAGTACATTTTTTATATTACCTATCTCTTAACAGGTTGTTATGCCTTTTTTAAAAAATTAGATTTGCATTTCAGTATCTTTGTACTAGAGTTGTGAGTGGATTGATTGCACACATAATTACAGTATTAGAGTATTATGGGTTTGTCTATATGCTTAATTTTTACCTTGGATTTTATACCTTCAAATAATTTTTTTTTGCATGTTAGTGTTTTTCTTTTCCTTTCAGACTGAATAATTCCCTATAATAGTTCTTGTAAGATGGGTCTGGTGGTGTTAAATTTTCTCACCTTTTGTGAGAAGGACTTTATGCCTCCTTCATATTTGAAGGATAGCTTTTCTGGATACAGTATACTTTGATAGCAGTTTTTAGAATTTTGGCACTTTCAACTTACCATTCTGCTTTCTCCTGGCCTATATGTTCTCCATAGAGAAGACCGTTGCCAAACAAATTGGAGCTCCTTTATATGTTGATTCTTTTATTTTGCCACCTTTGGCTCCTCTCTTTGTCCTTGACCTTTGAGAGTTTGATTATTAGATGCCTTGGGGTAGTCTTATTTGGCTCAAATCTGTTTGGTGTTCTCTGACCTTCTGGTACCTTGATATTTATCTCTTTCTCAAGGTGTGGAGAGTTTTCTGTTATTATTTCTTTCAATAAGTTTTCTAACCCTGCTGTTGCTCAACTCCATCTTGAACACCAGTGATTCTTACATTTGGTCTTTGGAGATAATTTTCCATATCTTGAAGGCAATCTTTGTTCCTTTGTATTCTTTTTCATTATTTCTACTTAGACAATGTATTTTCAAATATCCTGTCTTCAAGTTCACTGATTCTTTTAAAATTGTGTTTATTTTTTATTTCAATAGCTTTTAAGGTACAAGTCATTTTTGGTTACATGGATGAATTCTATAGTAGTGACTTCTGAGATTTTAGTACACTCATCACCTGAGCAGTGTATGCTGTACCCAATAGGTAGTCTTTTATCGCTCCCCCCTCCCCACTGAGTCCCCAAAGTCCATTATATCACTTTGTATGTCTTTGCGTCCTCATAGCTTAGCTCCCATGTATAAGTGAGAACATACGGTATTTGGTTTTCCATTTTTGATTACTTCACTTAGCATAATGGCCTCCAGCTTCATCCCACTTGCTGCAAAAGTTACTGCAGAAGACATTATTTCATTCTTTTTTTTTTTTTTTTTTTCAAGACAGAGTTTCGCTCTGTCACCCAGGCTGGAGTGCAGTGGCACAATCTCTGCTGACTGCAAGCTCCGCCTCCTGGGTTCACACCATTCTCCTGCCTCAGCCTCCCGAGTAGCTGGGACTACAGGTGCCCACCAGCGCGTGCGGCTAATTTTTTGTATTTTTAGTAGAGACGGGGTTTCACCATGTTAGCCAGGATGGTCTCGATCTCCTGACCTCCTGATCCACCTGCCTCGGCCTCCCAAAGTGCTGGGATTACAGGCGTGAGCCACAGTGCCTGGCCTTATTTCATTCTTTTTTATGGCTGAGTAGTATTCCATGATATATATATATATATGTGTATATATATATATATATATATATATATGTGTGTGTATATATATATATATATATGTGTATATATATATATATATATATGTATATATATACCACATTCTCTCTGTCTACTCATTGGTGTCAATGGGCACTTAGGTTGGTTCCATATCTTTTCAATTGTGAATTGTGCTGCTATTAACATACTTGTGCATGTGTCTTTTTCATATAATCTTCTTTACTTTTGGGTAGGTACCCAGTAGTGGGATTGCTAGATCGAATGATAGATCTACTTTTAGCTCTTCAAGGGATCTCTATGCTGTTTCCCACAGAGGTTGTACTAATTTATATTCCTACCAGCAGTGTAAAAGTGTTCCCTTTTCAACACATCTACACCAACATCTATTGTTTTTTGACTGTTTTATCATGGCCACTCTTGCAGGAGTAAGGTGGTATCTCATTGTGGTTTTAATTTGCATTTTCATGATGGTTACTGATGTAGATAATTTTTTCATACATTTTTGGGCTATTTGTATATCTTTTTTTGAGAAATGTCTATTCGTGTCTTTTGCCCACTTTTTGATGGATTTTTTTTCTAATTCATTTGAGTTCCTTATAGATTCTGCATACTAGCCCTTTCTCAGATGCATAGTTTGCAAATATTTTCTCCTTTTCTGTGGATTGTCTGTTTACTCTGATGACTATCTCTTTTGCTGGGTAGAAACTTTTTTGTTTAATTAGGTCCTATTCACTTATTTTTGTTATTGTTGCATTTGCTTTTGGGGTCTTGGTCATGAATTCTTTTCCTAGGCCAATGCCCAGAAGTGTTTGTCCAGTATTATCTTTTAGAATTTTTATTGTTTCAGGTTTAAGACTTAAGTCTTTGATCAGTTTTGAGTTGATTTTTGTATAAGGTGAGAGATGGGAATCCAGTTTCATTCTTCTACATGTGGCTTGCCAGATTTCCTAGCACCATTTATTAAATGGGATGTCCTTTCCCCAATTTATGCTTTTGTATGCTTTGTCAAAGATCATTTGGTTGTAAATATTTGGCTTTATTTCTGGGTTCTCTATTCTGTTCCATTGGTCTACATGCCTATTTTTATATCAGTACCATGCTGTTTTGATAACTATAGCCTTCTAGTATAGTTTGAGGTTGGGTAATATGAACAAATCCAGATTTGTTCTTCTTCCTTATGGTTTCTTTGGCTATGTGGGCTCTTTTTCAGTTCCATATGAATTTTAGAATTGTTTATTCTAGTTCTGTATAATTTGAAGTCCAGTAATGTGATGCCTCCAGCTTTGTTCTTTTTGCTTACTGGGGCTATTTGGGCTCTTTTTTGATTCCACATGAAGTTTTGGATTGCTTTTTATTGTTCTGTGAAAAATGATGATGGTATTTTGATGGAAATTGCATTAAATCTATAGATTACTTTGGGCAGTTATAGTTATTTTCATACTATTGATTCTTTTATCATCATGGGATGTGTTTCCATTCATTTGTGTCATTTATGATTTCTTTCAGTAGTGTTTTGTGGTTTTCTTTGTAGATATCTTTCAACTCCTTGGTTAAGGATATTTCTAGGTATTTTAATTTTATTATTATTTTTGCAGCCATTGTAAAAGGGATTGAGTTCTTAATTTTATTCTCAGCTTGGCCATTGTTGGTGTATAGCAGGACAACTGATTTGTGTACATTGATTCCGTAACCTTAGACTTTGCTGAATTTATTTATTAGGCCTAGTAATCTTTTGGATGAGGGATGAGTCTTTAGGGTTTTCTAGGTATACAATCATATTGAGAGGTGACAGCGTGCTGGCAGTCCTCACAGCCTTCGCTCACTCTCAGCGCCTCCTCTGCCTGGGCTCCCACTTTGGCGGCACTTGAGGAGCCCTTCAGCCCACTGCTGCACCGTGGGAGTCCCTTTCTGGGCTGGCCAAGGCCGGAGCCGGCTCCCTCAGCTTGCAGGGAGGTGTGGAGGGAGAGGCGCCAGCGGGAACAGGGGCTGCGCGGGTGTTTGCGGGCCAGCTGGAGTTCCGGGTGGGCGTGGGCTTGGCCGGTCCGCACTCGGAGCAGCGGGCTGGCCCTGCCGCCCTGGGCAATGAGGGGCTTAGCACCTGGTCCAGCGGCTGCGGAGGGTGTACTGGGTCCCCGAGCAGTGCCAGCTCACCCGGTGCTGCGCTCGATTTCTCACCAGGCCTTAGCTGCCTTCCTGCGGGGCAGGGCTCGGGACCTGCAGCCCGCCATGCCTGAGCCTCCCACCCCTCCCTGGGCTCTTGTGCGGCCGGAGCCTCCCCAATGAGCGCCACCCACTGCGCCACGGCGCCCAGTCCCATCGACCACCCAGGGGCTGAGGAGTGCAGGCGCACGGCGCGGGACTGGCAGGCAGCTCCACCTGCAGCCCCCGTGCGGGATCCACTAGGTGAAGCCAGCTGGGCTCCTGAGTCTGGTGGGGAAGTGGAGAACCTTTATGTCTAGCTCAGGGATTGTAAATACACCAGTCGGCACTCTGTATCTAGCTCAAGGTTTGTAAACACACCAGTCAGCACCCTGTGTCTAGCTCAGGGTTTGTGAATGCACCAGTGGACATTCTGTATCCAGCTACTCTGGTGGGGCCTTGGAGAACCTTTATGTCTAGCTCAGGGATTGTAAATACACCAATCGGCACTCTGTATCTAGCTCAAGGTTTGTAAACACACCAATCAGCACCCTGTGTCTAGCTCAGGGTTTGTGAATGCACCAATTGACACTCTGTATCTAGCTACTCTGGTGGGGCCTTGGAGAACCTTTACGTCCACACTCTGTATCTAGCTAATCTGGTGGGGACCTGCAGAACCTTTGTGTCTAGCTCAGGGATTGTAAACACACCAATCAGCGCCCTGTCAAAACAGACCACTTGGCTCTACCAGTCAGCAGGATGTGGGTGGGGCCAGATAAGAGAATAAAAGCAGGCTGCAAGCCAGCAGCGGCAACCCGTTGGGGTCCCTTCCACACTGTGGAAGCTTTGTTCTCTCACTCTTTGCAATATATCTAGCTACTGCTCACTCTTTGGGTCCACACTGCTTTTATGAGCTGTAACACTCACCGGGGAGGTCTGCAGCTTCACTCCTGAGCCAGTGAGACCACGAACCCACCAAAAGGAAGAAACTCCGAACACATCCGAACATCAGAAGGAACAAACTCCAGACGCGCCACCTTAAGAGCTGTAACACTCACTGCGAGGGTCCACGGCTTCATTCTTGAAGTCAGTGAGACCAAGAACCCACCAATTCCAGACACAATATCATCGGCAAACAATGCTAGTTTGATTTCCTCTTTTCCAATTTGGATGTACTTTATTTCTCTCTCTTGCCTGGTTGCTCTGGCTAGGACTTCCCGTGCTATGCTGAATAGAAGTGGTAAAAATGGGCATCCTTGTCTTGTTCCAGTTCTCGGAGGAAATGTTTTCCACTTTTCCTGATTCAGTATAATGTTGGCTGTGGGTTTGTCATATATGGCTTTTATTATTTTGAGGTAAATCCCTTCTGTGCCTAGTTTATTGAGAGTTTTTAATCATAAGCAATGCTGGATTTTATCAAATGTGTTTTCTGCATCTATTGAGATGATCATATGTTTTTTGTTTTTAATTCTGTTTATGTGATCTATCATATTTACTGACTTGCATATATTCAATCATCTCTGCCTCGATGGGATGAAACCCACTTGATCATGATAAATTTTCTTTTTGATATGCTGTTGGATTTGGTTAGCTGGAGTTTGTTGAGGATTTTTTCATCTATGTTCATCAGGGATATTGGTCTGTAGTTTTCTTATTTTAATACCTTTCCTGGTTTTGGAATTGGTGATATGGACTTCATAGAATCATTTATGGAGGATTCCCTCTTTCTCTTTTATTTGTTTATTTGGCATGTGTCTCAAGATATTACCCCTTTTCTCAATCTTTTTGAATAGTTTAAGTAAAATTGGTACCATTTCTTTCTTTGAATGTCTGGTAGAATTCAGCTGTGAATCTGGTCCTCGGCTTTTTTTGTTGTTGTTGGCAATTTTTTTTTTTTATTATTGATTCCATCTTTCTGCTTGTTATTTGTCTGTTTAGGATTTCTATTTCTTTCTGATTTAATCTAGGAGGGTTGTATGTTTCCAGGAGTTTATCCGTTTCCTCTAGATTTTCTAACTTGTGCACATAAACGTGTTCAGAGTTGTCTTGAATTATCTTCTGTATTTCTGTAGTATCAGTTGTAATGTCTCTGGTTTCATTTCCAGTTGAGCTTATTTAGATCTTCTCTCTATTTTCTTGATTAATCTTGCTAAGTTCTATCAATTTTATCTTTTCAAAGCACCAGCTTTTTGTTGCATTTATCTTTTGTATTTTTGGTCTCAATTTCATTTATTTCTTCTCTGATTTTTGTTATTTCTTTTCTTCTGCTGGCTTTAGGTTTAGTTTATTCCTGTTTCTTTGGTTTTTTGAGATGTGAACTTAGGTTGTCACTTTGTGCTCTTTCAGGCTTTTTGATGTCGGTATTTAATGCTATGAACTTTCTTCTTAGCATTGCTTTTGCTTTTGCTGTATCTCAGGGATTTTGATAACTTGTTTCACTACCATCATTCATTTCAAATAATTTTAAAATTTCCATCTTGATTTTATTGTTAACCCAAAAATCATTCAGAACCAGATTAATTAATTTTTATGTATTTGTATAGTGTTGAGGATTCTTTTGTCATTGAGTTGTAGTTTTGTTATACTTTGGTCTGAAAGATATTTGAGATGATTTTTATTTTCTTAAATTTATTGAGACTTGTTTTGTGACCTATTACATGGTCTATCTTGGAAAATTTTCCATGTGCTGATGAGAAGAATGTGTATTCTGCAGTTCTTGGGTAGAATGTTCTGTAAATATCTGTTAAGTCTATTTGTTCTAGAATGTAGTTTCAGTCCATTGTTTCTGTGTTTACTTTCTGTCTCAGTGATCTTTCTAGTCCTGTCAGTGGAGTATTTAAGTCCCCCACTAATATTGTGTTGCTGTCAACCTCATTTTTTAGATCTAGTAGTAATTGTTTTATAATTTTGGAAGCTCCAATGCTAGGTGCATATAAATTCAGGATTGTAATCTTGTTGGATTGGTCTTTTAACCATTATATAATGACCTTTTTTCTTTTTGCTGTTGTTGCTTTAAAGTCTGTTTGGTCTGATATAAGAATAGCTCCTCCTGCTCGCCTTTTGTTTCCATTTGCATGGAATATCTTTTCCACCCCTTTACCTTGAGTTTGTAAGAGTCCTTATATGTTAGGTGAGTCTCTTGAAGACAGCAGATATATGGTTTTTTATTTTTTTTATCTACTCTATCATCCAGTATCTTTTAATCGGAATACTTAGGCCACTTACATTCAACATTAATACTGAGATATGAGATACGGTTCCATTCATCATGTTAGAATTACCTAGATACTTTTTTGTTGTGTTATGGTTTTATAGGCCCTGTTTTATGCTTTCAAGAGGTTCTATTTGGATGCATATTAAGCTTTTGTTTCAAGATTTAGAACTCCTTTTAACATTTCTTGTAGTGCTGGTTTGGTAGTGGCAAATTCCCTCAGCATTTACTTGTCTGAAAATAATTTCATTTCTTCTTCATTTATGAAATTTAGTTTTGCTGGATACAAAATTTGTGGCTGACAGTTATTCTTTTTAAGGAGGCTAAATGTAAGACTCCAATCTCTTCTAGTTTGTAAGGTTTTTGCTAAGAAGTCTTCTGTTAATTTGAAAGTTACTTGCTGCTTTTGTCTCACAGCTCTTGGCATTCTTTCCTTTTTGTTGACTTTAGGTGGCCTGATGGTCATGTTCCTTGGTGTAATCTTTTTACAGTGAATTTCTCAGTTGTTTGTTTGTTTGTTTGTTTTTGAGGTTCTTGTATTTGGAAATTTAAATCTTTAGCAAGGCCAGGGATGTTTTTCTCAATTATTTTCTCAAATAAGTTTTTCAAACTTTTAGCCTTCTCTTTTCCTGCAGAAACACCAATTATTCTTAGCTTTGGCCATTTTACATAATCCTGTATTTCTTAGAGACTGTGTTCATTTCTTTTTATTCTTTTTCCTTTATCTTTTTCTGACTGAGTTAATTCAAAAGCCTTGTCTTTGAGCTCTGAAATTCTTTCTTCTACTTGTTCTAATCTATTGTTTAAACTTTCCACTGCATTTTATATTTCTCTAAGTGTGTCTTTCATTTCCAGAAGTTCTGACTGGTTTTTCTTTATGATATGTATCTCTCTAAGACACTTTTCATTCATATCCTCTTTTTTTTTTTTTGAGACACGGTCTCACTCTGTCACTCAGGCTGGAGTGCAGTGGTATGATCACAGCTCACTGCAGCCTCGACTACCCAGGCTCAATTGATCCTTCGATCTCTCAGCCTCTTGAGTAGCTGGGACTACAGGCATGTGCCACCACACCCAACTAATTTTTATATTTTTTGCAGAGATGGAGTTTCACAATGTTGTCCAGGCTAGTGTTGAACTCCTGAGCTCAAGCAATCCACCCGCCTTGGCCTCCCAAAATGCTATGATTACAGGTGTGAACCACTGTGCCTGGCCTATATCCTGAATTGTTTTTAAAATTTCTTTATGGTGGTTTTCACCTTTCTGTGGTATCTCTTCAAGTAGCTTAATAACCTTCTGAATCTTTATTTGGTATTTCAAAGATTTCATCTTGGTTTGGATCCATTGCTGGGGAGCTAGTGTGATCTGTTATAGAACTCTGGTTTTTTTTGTGTGTGTGTCACCAAAATTAACTTTTCTGGTTCCTTCTCATTAGGGTAGACTATTTCTGTTAAGTATTCTTGAATTTAAGATTTCTTTTCTTTCTTTCTTTCTACCCTTAAGGATGTGACTTTAATGTGTGTAGTTTATTATAGCCTAATTTGGTTGGTCGTGCTTTTAGGGTGATGACTCTGTATGAGTTCCTTGGTTATGGAGAGTGTTTGTATGATAGCTTCCTCAGATACTGGTTGTAGAAGCTACGTACTTGGTGTGTGGATAAGTTCACTATCTCCTATGGGGTTGGAATGACAGAGGTCTTTTGAAGCTTATCCCATTTCCGTGTGGTGTGCACTTATTTATTTATTTATTTATTTATTTATTTATTTATTTATTCCCCAGTATTCTATTTACTGAGTTGATGATTCAGGTCTCAGGTGAGTAGGGAAGATTTTCCTCGGTAGAAACTGGTTGTAGCTAAAGCAGGTGGGTAAGTGCAATGGCCAGTGGCGGGCAGAGATCCCAGCCTTGATGATGGTAGCTGGGGGAGCTCTCAATTAGATGCACTGAGGTCTTAACAGGGGAAAGGGTAGGAGCCACCCCAGCTCCCCCTGCCAGGCCAGCAGGAAAGCTGTCCACCTCCCAGACTCACTCCTGTCCCAATGTTTCAGCTATTCAGATTAGACAGGCACCCCTTTTCTTCTGCATGAATGTTGATGTTCCACATAGAGAAGAACTGTGACTCTGCCTCTCATGGAAGCCTGAACCTGGAAGGTGCTCCTCCTGTGGAGATGCAGTCACCCTGCAATGTTCCAGGAAGGATGTCTGTAGATGCACCCATGCTGAGCTACCATGGGAGAAGCCTCAGCTGTGTCTGTAGTGGTGGACAAGGAGAGAAAGAAGACCCCTTCTTCAAGACCCTTCATGAGCACCAAGGCTGCCTGACTGTTGGGATAGTACTGCAGACTTTCCCTGCTGAGCCCAGCACTGCAATTGCATCTCTACAGAAAGAAACTTCCCACCAGAGTGAAGATCTGGAACTCAAAGCTTGCTGTCCAGATTCTTTTGTCCTATGAGGTGTTCCTTTCATGTAGTGTTCTCCCTCTTCCCCTAGGAGTAGGAGTTTCTGAGAGCCAGACTGCAGTGATTGCTATTGCTCTTCTGGGTCTAGCCACCTGTGAGGCTGCCATACTCCAGGTTGGTGCCAGGAAATGTCTGCAAGCGATCTGGTGATGTGACCTGTCCTCAAGTCTCCTAGCAGTGGGTACCAGCACCAGCTCTGATGAGGGTGGCAGGGGAGTAACGTAAACTCTGTGAGATTCCTTGGTTATAGATAGCCTTAGCGTGCTGTCTTTCTCAAATGCTGGTTACAATAGTAGTAAACTGGTCATGTGGACAGACTCAGGACCTCTTGTTGACAATGGTGATAGCTGAGGTCACACACTGGTTTTCTTCTTCCTGGGTGGTATGTTAGTGTGCCTGCAGATGCTGTAATGGACTGTCAGTTACCCTCCAGCCAGCAGGTGGTGCCTGCAAAAGAGCAGCAGCTTCAGTAGTAACTGTGGGATTTGAGCTTGCCTTATGTTGCCCAGGGGAGGTATTTTGGTTTCTCAGGTGATGGGTGAGGACATAAAGTTCCCCAAAATTTCTGTCCTTTGTGTTAAGCTACCAGGGTGTGTGGAGGGCCATAACCGGGTGGGGTCTGAGTCAGGTGGGTCTGCATTCTGACTCCCTGTGTGTGGGGCAAGCTGTGACCCCTGTTGGGGTAGGAAGGTCATTCTTAAGCCTCTGAGGTAATGTTCCATAGGTGAGTGTAACTGCTCTGCTGTTCAGAAGAACTTGTACAAGAGGTGGGGAGTAACATGTGGCAGTAAGCCTCACTTAGATCCCACACAGTTGGCCAGGCTGATCTCACTCCCACAGTGCCCTGCTAGTAGCACTGGGCTAAGTTTCAGGTAGCCTGCACTCAGAACTCAAACCTTCCTCAGGCCATAAACTTTCCCCATGAGGATAACAACCACAGCTTTCAGGCCACATCCTTCCCCATCCACCTGCAAGGATGGGTGCCTGGCTCCTGTGCTCACAAATATAGCATACTTTCCACTTGCCGTCCCCACCCCTCCAGGGTTCTGACCAAGAGAATTTGTCCCTACTTGATGTTATATTGTGAAATTCAGTTGGGAGTTGTGACTACTGTCTGAGCTGGTTGGTTGACTTTGCTGAGGTTCCTGTGAGATATAATAAGGAATGGCTTCCCTTGGTCTGCACTGGAGATTGGGAATGCCTGCAAGGCACTTCCCACTGCTGCTTCTACTTTTATATTTCACTGCTCCCTAAATCAGTTCCTGTTCTGTGTTGGATTAAGGCCTTCACCTGTGGCCTGGATTTTTAAGTTCCTTAATGGGGATATGTATCCTGGAGGCAGTCTCTCCCACTCTAACACTCTGGGGACTTAGTTTTTGGCCTGTTTCATGGTGTAGGCTGAAGCCTGCCACTTCTTTCAAAGAGTCTGTGGATTCTTTCACTTTTCCTGTTAAGTTCCTGTATTGCTTCTTGGAAAAAAGTTCACAATGTGAATCTCTACACCTATTTTGTCCTTCCAAGTGGAGAGGCATGCTGACATTGCCTCCAATTCCCCATCTTGTGGGGGAGAGGGGAAGCTCACTGATTCTTTCCTCTGCATGATCCATTCTGCTATTGAGGACCCCCTAATGAATTTTTTAGTTCAGCCAATGTATTTCTCAGTTCCAAGATTTCTGTTTGATTTCATTATTTCAATCTCTTTGTTAGATTTTTTGATAAGATTCTGAATTGCTTTTCTGTGTTATCTTGGAGGTCATTGAATTATCTTAAAACTGTGCCTTGGTGTGTGTGTGTGTGTGTGTGTGTGTGTGTGTGTGTGTGTTTGGAGACAGGGTCTCACTCTGTCACCCAGACTGGAGTGCAGTGGCCTGAACCTGACCTACTGCAGCCTTGACCTCCTGGGCTTAAGCGATCCTCCTGCCTCATTATCCTGAGTACCTGCAACTATCACCATGCACGTATCACCATGCCTGGCTAATTTTTAAATTTTTTTTGTAGAGATGAGGTCTTGCTATGTTGCCCAGGCTGGTCTTAAACTCCTGGGCTCAACTGACCCTCCTACTTTGGCCTCCCAAAGTGCTAGGATTGCAGGTGTGAGTCAACACACCCAGCAATTTGCTATTTTGAATTCTTGGTCAGAGAGCTTACATATTGCCATCTCTTTAGGGTCCGTCACTGGTTTCTTGCTTCATTAGTTTGTGGAGGTCTTGATTCCCTGTTTGCTGTTGTTTATTGATGATGTGAATCTATGTCTTTGCACTGATTATTTATTTTTCCAGTCTTCTTTGACTAGCTTGTTTTTTTTTTAATTGGATATTTTTCTTAGACTTTTTTTTTTTTTGGTAATTTTCCTGTTGAATTTCTATTTTTTTTTTTTTTTTTTAAGATGGAGTCTCGCTCTGTCACCCAGGCTGGAGTGCAGTGGCGTGATCTCAGCTCACTGCAAGCTCCGCCTGCTGGGTTGATGCCATTCTCCTGCCTCAGCCTCCCAAGTAGCTGGGACTATAGGTGCCCGCCACCATGCCCGGCTATTTTTTTTTGTATTTTTAGTAGAAATGGGGTTTCACCATGTTAGCCAGGATGGTCTCGATCTCCTGACCTCATGATCTGCCCGCCTTGGCCTCCCAAAGTGCTGGGATTACAAGCATGAGCCACTGCACCTGGCCTTCCTGTTGAATTTCTTTCTTTTTTTTCCCACTAGATTGCTGTGTCCATTTAGCACTAGATAGTATTTTAAGCCCAGGTTTGTTTCAGGTCTAGAAAAGGATCAGAGTGCTGCCTGTCCCAAATGGAGAATGCCCCAAAAGTACATCCCAGCAGTATGGGAAGGCTGGTTAGGGGTTCATGTCCAGGAGACCTATGGAACACTTTTCCTACAGCATGGTGCTGCTGAACATTCACTCTGGTTTAGTATCATCTTTGGCTGAGTTACAGAGCAGTTTCCAGGGTAGGGGATGGCAGTCCCACCATCTCCCTTTGTCTCTGGCTGTCCACAGGGCTATTTCTCCCATTAGGCATTCACAATGCTTCCTGTGGGTTGGGGCAGGGACATGTCTTCTGTCATGGAACTCAACATAGTGGGGAAGCTGATTATTCATCTTGATCTCACTTTTTCCAGTGTAAAAATTGTGAGTTGAGGAGAAATTTTCTGCATGTTTGGTTTGGGGCAAATTGAGGGAAGGGGTGTTATGGACATGGAAGTCTGATTTTCTTATCATCTACTCAGAGGTTTTTCACTTCCCTGTGACCCCAGGAACTGCTTTATCTTCATTTTTGAGTTCTGGGATATTGCTGGTGATAATCTCAGCACTGTATGCCACTTTTGGAACTGGAAGCCCCTTTCTGTCTCAGATTGTCTTTATCTCTTTTTCATTCTTGAAGGATAGTGTTGCCATGTATATTATTATTTGATTGTTTGTTTGTTTTTTCCCACAGCACTTTGAATATATATCATCCCATGCCATTCAGACCTGCAAGATTTCTGCTAAAAACTAGTGATAGTCTCATGAGGATTCCCTCATATGTGACATGTTGTTTTTCTCTTGGTGTTTTTTCAAAAATCTTTCTTTGTCTTTGACAATTTAATTATAATATTTCTCAGTGTGGATTTTTAGGGTTCATCTTAAGTTGGGTTCTGTAAGTTTCCTGCATCTAAATGTCCATTTCCTTTCTCACATTTGATACTTTTTCAGCCATTATTTCTTAGAATAAGCTTTCTGCTTATTTTTTCTCTCGCTGTCTCTCTTCCTCTTCTGAGACTTCTATAATGCTTGTATTGGTCTTTCTTAATGGTGTGCTGTATATCCCTTAAGCTATCTTTGCTGTTTTTCTTTTACTCCTCTGATGAATAATTCCATGTGATCTTTCTCCAAGTTCTCTCATTTTTTCTTCTGTTTGCTTTACTCATACATTTTACCCCTCTTTTGATTTTTTCAGTTCAGCTATTGGTATTCTTCAGCTCCATGATTTGTTTGGTCCTTTTTAAAATTTTCTCTCTTAGTTGAAATTATCCTTTTGTTTTTACATTGCTCCCCCAAGCTCATGAAGTATTTTTTGTGACACTTATTTTGATTTTTCTCTGAAGTAATTTATATATTCCCATTTCATTAGGATCAGTTTCTGGAGTTTAATCTTTTTCTTTTGTTTGGATAATGTTTCTTTGTTTCTTAATTTTCCTTGATTCTTCCTGTTGATATCTATGCATTAGAAAAAACTTTACCATCTCCCAGTCTTTCTGGATTTGTCTTGTACAGGAGAAGAGCTTCACCAATCAACCTGGCCCAAACTTTTGTGGGCCTCTCAAACCTTCATGCTAGTTCAAACTTCTGTCTTTGTTCTTAGTGGCTTCCAGACCTTTAGAGTATGCCAGGTTCTGTCAACATTCTTAGATAGCTGGAAAAGAAGCCAAGTCATCAGGTAGCTCCTATAGAAGTTGGAAGTCTAGGTGCATGGTCCAACTCTTTCCCTCTCCAGGGATAAGCTGGTTGCTGAGGTTTTTGGGGTTTTTGTTTTTTTATCCACTTGCTCTGAATTGAGCCATAGAGAGGAGTTGTGCTGACTGCCTGGATACTAGTTCAAACCACTGCTTTGTTCTCTGTCACTTCTAGAAGACAGTGTATGCCAGGCCATGTCAACTTTCTAAGACAGGAAGATGGAAGCCAGCTCCTCAGGTAGCACCTAAATAATTTGGGGCATTAGATGTGCAGTCCAACTCTTTTGCTCTTCTGGAAGAAGCTGTGAGCTAGAGTTTATTGCCTACTCTTTCTGTGCTAAGCCAGGGGAGGACCTCTGGTGATTATCTGCAGGTTAATTGTAGCCACACTAAGCATATTAGTCATAGTTCTAAATTCCCTTTCTGATAATTTCAATATCCCTGCCATATTGAAGTCTGGATCTTATGCTTGTTCTTCTCTTCAAAATGTGTCTTTTGCCTCTAAGTGTGCCTTATAATCTTTTTTTGATGTATTGCAGTTAAAGAATTACTATAAACGGTACTTTACTAATGTGGTGGTAATATGTGGGGATGGGGATGTGTTCTGTAGTCCTGTGATTAGGTCTCAGTCTTTTAGTGAAACTGTGTATCTGGACTATGAATTTCCCAAGTGCTTCTCCATCTCCCACACTCTCCCCAACCTCTTAGATTTGGGGACAAGATGGTTAGAGTAGGCTGGAGTTGGTTATTTTCCTTCCCTCAAGTCAGTTAAGCTCTAGCAAAACCCCAATAATTTAGGCTCTGGTAAATTAGTTTCTCTGGAGAGCAGACATTCTTAAGAAGAACAAAAGGTTCTGGCAAATTTCAAAAGGTTTCTTTCCCCCTTCATCACCATAAGCATGAAGGAATTTTCCTCCAATATTCACTGTGAAAACCTGGTCAACCTTCTGGATTTTAAAATTCACAAAACTATGGCTTCAGCCCTAGGACTGGGTTGCACTGGAGTTTTTCCACACTGAGCCTCCGGCAATTTGTCAGTTACAGTTCACATTTTGCTACCCAGGCATTGGTTCTCATGGAGATTTTTTTCTTGGGAGTTTCAACTCCTGTAAGTTGGGATTCTCTGTCTCTCCAATTTGTAGGACAATTGTTTGCCCTGTGACCTTGCTCCTCTGACAGATCTAAGAAGAGTTGTTCATTTTTCAGTTTGTTCAGGCTTTTACTTGTAATTAGGATGGCATGGTGACTTTCAATCTCTTTACATGCTAGAGCAGAGACCAAAAGTCTCATGATAGCTTTACAGTGATTAAAACAAAAACGTGAAGGAATAATAAATAATTGCCAAATCAAAAATAAAACCATTGAAAGTTAGATATTATCCCTTTGAACACTCTATATTTAATAAGACAAACAACAACTTGTTGAAGTTTCTCTCTAATTGAGCGTAGAAGATTCTCAAATCTCAGCTTGAGATTTGGCCATATTTTCTTCTGAGAGAATAAGGATTCTGCATAAAGCCTGATGGTTGTTGATCAATCTGTCTTCAGTCCAGCCTTCTGGATACATTTCTGGGTTTCAGGGACAGAAAGCTACATATTTAAGTAAAAACCAAAAGAACTGTTTCATTAAAATCTTTAACCCATGGGTTCCCAAATGTCCTTAGTATTGCACTCATAGAGTGAGTTATAATGCTGAGGAAACATCTGCTAATCCCTGATATGCACAGCGATGCAGTTTGCACACCTTGAGGTCTAAGTGTACCTCTGGAGAACTGCTGCATGTGGCAAAGTCTCAGTAGGGATTATATTGAATATAAAGGAACAGTATGGGATGGCGTTAAATTTCCACAAGTGCTTGATAGAGTAGCACTAGTCATCAGGAGAGAATTACTTTGCTAGATGGAACAACAGGAGATTTTTTTTTTTTTTTTTTTTTTTTGCAGTCCCGTGGAATAAATATGGTAGAAGTTTAGGACAAATGAGACATTTCAGGAATACTTAGAGACACTTTGTGAGAAATCAGAGACTATGCATCATCATCAGGGAGTAACTAGGAGATAAATGTAGGCCTTAATAACATTGTGTCATAATTAGTGATGCCAAATGAAATTTAGGCTGCACTATATTAATATCCATGCAATACCTTGACTTGTGCCCTCCCTACTCTTGTTACCATAAGTAAGAAGATTTTTTTCTTAGACTGAAGTGCAATCATTGAGGAAATGAGGCAAATAAGGTGAAAGAACCTCTACTAAAATCACAACTACTCATCTGCTGAGAGGATGAAGTATCACTCATATTGGCTTACATACAGTGTGAAAGGGGATAGAGCAAGCCAATATTTATTACCCATAAGTCACATTATTCATTCTTCAAAATGATTTTTTTGTATTAATCTATATTGAAGAAAGGACTCTTCCTAATTTCTTCTAAGGAAATTGAAGAACTTCCACTCCCCCACCCACAGCACATTTTAAAATAAAGTACAAATCTAGTTTAAAGACCACCAACCTCGACACTGTTTCTTCCAAATTAAAACACACAAAGAAAACTTTAATAGCATCTAATAGAAAACGTTTCTTCATTACAGAACCCCAAAGAAAGAATTCCTGTGTTCTGGAGGCACAAGGAAGTGAGATGTTAGATAATTGACCATGTAATGCTGTCCTGCTGTATTGTCTCCTGAGGAAAATACTGGATAGACAGTTTCCCTTAAGCAGAGATAAAGTTATTTCAAGAGGAATCCTCATTGATTATTTTAATATCATATTGTTTTAGTTCTAACATTTAACATTTCCTGAAAATTCTGAAACATTTTTTACTAAAGACATTTGAAATTTATATTACTCAAGGGAAGAAGTGAGAATTATTAAGTTTCTTTTTAAATTATATTAAAAATGAATTTCCCTGAGATTTCTTGCTTGTTTAAAAAAACCCATCATTCTGAGTACCTTGACTAATTTAGAGGCAGGGACATTAATTCGTTTGCAGCCTTGAATTATCCCTGAAGCTAAAAGGGTTTCTACAGTCCTTTAAAAGAACCTACTCTCATGACTTTTTCTCAGATTTACTCACGTCTTCCAGAGACATCAGGAATCAATATAGGGCATTTGTCCATATTAGCAACATTTTCTTTAAAAATTTATTCATTGGTAGAGGGCTAGCAAGATGGCTGAATAGGAACAGCTCTGGTCTGCAGCTCCCAGTGAGATCAACGCAGAAGGTGGGTGATTTCTGCATTTCCAACTGAGGTACCTGGCTTATCTCATTGAGACTGGTTAGATAGTGGGTGCAGCCCATATAGGGCAAGCCAAAGCAGGGTAGGGTGTCACCTCACCTGGAAAGCATAAGGGGTTGGGGAACTCCCTCCCCTAGCCAAGGGAAGCCATGAGGGACTGTGTCGTGAGGAATGGTGCATTCCCGCCCAGAAATTACTCTTTTCCCATGGTCTTCTCAACCCTCAGACCAGGAGATTCTCTCGGGTTCCTATGCCACCAGGGCCCTGGGTTTCAAGCATAAAACTGGGAGGCTGTTTGGGCAGACAGCAAACTAGCTGCAGGAGTTTCTTTTCATACCCAGTGGCACCTGGAATGCCAGCGACACAGAACCGTTCACTCCTGCCCTTAAACCCCACAACAGGAATTAATCAACCTCGCCTTCAAGGTGTACAATAATAGAGAAGAGGTAGCCAGACAGCAATGCATTTCTGAGTTACAGCTACTTGCCTCCGCTGTAAGACAGCCCACAACCACATCTCCAGCATACAAAAACTTCAGAACATCCAAGCCACAGCTCCCAGGGGCTCCTTCAAAACATCCTCATGGGCCTTGCTTCAAATGCCAAAAGCCTGGCCAGTGGGCCAAGGAATGCCCACAGCCCAGGATTCCTCCTAAGCCGTGTCCCATCTGTGTGGGACCCCACTGGAAATTGGACAGTCCAACTGGCCCAAGGCTCTGACTGACTCCTTCCCAGATCTTCTCGGCTTAGCAGCTGAAGACTGACGCTGCCCAATCGCCTCAGAAGCCTCTTGGACCATCACAGATGCTTTGGTAACTCTTACAGTGGAGGGTAAGTCTGTCCCCTTCTTAATTAATATGGAGGCTACCCACTCCACATTACCTTCTTTTCAAAGGCCTGTTTCCCTCGCCTCCATAACTGTTGTGGGTATTGACGGCCAGGCTTCTAAACCTCTTAAAACTCCCCAACTCTGGTGCCAACTTGGGCATTCTTTTATGCACTCTTTAAGTTATCCCCACCTGCCCAGTTCGCTTATTAGGCCGAGACATTTTAACTAAATTATCTGCTTCCCTGACTATTCCTGGGCTACAGCCACACATCATTGCCGCCTTTTTTTCCCAGTTCAAAGCCTCCTTCACATCCTTGCCTTGTATCTCCTCACCTTAAACCACAAGTATAGGATGTCTCTACTCCCTCCTTGGTGACCAATCATGCACCCCTTACCCTCCCATTAAAACCTAATCACCCTTACCCCACTCAACGCCAATATCCCATCCGGCAGCATGCTTTTTTTTTTTTTTTTTTTTTTTTTGAGACGGAGTCTCGCTCTGTGGCCCAGGCGGGAGTGCAGTGGCTCAATCTCGGCTCACTGCAAGCTCCGCCTCCTGGGTTCACGCCATTCTCCTGCCTCAGCCTCCCGAGTAGCTGGGACTACAGGCGCCCGCCATCACGCCCGGCTAATTTTTTTTGTATTTTTAGTAGAGACGGGGTTTCACCGTGTTAGCCAGGATGGTCTCGATCTCCTGACCTCGTGATCCACCCGCCTCGGCCTCCCAAAGTGCTGGGATTACAAGCGTGAGCCACCGCGCCCGGCCCGGCAGCATGCTTTAAAAGGATTAAAGCCTGTTATCGCTCGCCTGTTACAGCTGGCCTTTTAAAGCCTATAGACTCTCCTTACAATTCCCCCATTTTACCTGTCAAAAAACTGGACAAGTCTTACAGGTTAGTTGAGGATCTGCACTTTGTCAACCAAATTGTCTTGCCTATCCACCCCGTGGTGCCAAAGCCATATAGTCTCCTGTCCTCAATACTTCCCTCCACACCCCCTCCATAGCCCATTATTCTGTTCTGGATCTCAAACATTCTTTCTTCACTATTCCTTGCACCCTTCATCCCAGCCTCTCTTTGCTTTCACTTGGACAGACCCTGACATCCATCAGGCTCAGTAAACTACCTGGGGTGTACTGCCACAAGGCTTTACAGACAGCCCCCATTACTTCAGTCAAGCCCAAATTTCTTCCTTATCTGCTACCTATCTTGGCATAGTTCTCATGAAAATGCACACGCTCTCCCTGCTGATCATGTCCAGCTAATCTCCCAAACCACAATCCCTTCTACAAAACAACAACTCCTTTCCTTCCTAGGCATGGTTAGGTACTTCCACCTTTGGATATCTAGTTTTACCATCCTGACTAAACCATTATGTAAACTCACAAAACCAAACCTAGCTGACCCCACAGATCCTAAATCCTTTCCCCACTCCTCTTTCCATTCCTTGAAGACAGCTTTAGAGACAGCCCCCACACTAGCTCTCCCTGACTCAGCCCAACCCTTTTCATTACACACAGCTGAAGTAAGGGCTCTGCAGTTGGAATTCTCACACATGGACCAGGACTGCGCCCTGTAGCCTTTCTGTCCAAACAACTTGACCTTACTGTTTTAGCCTAGCCCTCATGTCTGCGTGTGGTGGCTACTGCCACCAATAGTTTTAGAGGCCCTCAAACTCACAAACTATGCTGAACTCTCTTTCTACAGTTCTCATAACTTCCAAAATCTATTTTCTTCCTCACCCCTGACACATATACTTTCTGTTCCCCGGCTCCTTCAGCTGTACTCACTCTTTGTTGAGTCTCCCACAGTTACCATTGTTCCTGGCCCGGACTTCAATCCGGCCTCCCACATTATTCCTGATACCACACTTGACTCCTATGACTGTATCTCTCTGATACACTTGGCATTCACTCCATTTCCCCATATTTCCTTCTTTCCTTTTCCTCACCCTGATCACACTTGGTTTATTGATGTCAGTTCCACCAGGCCTAATAGCCACTCACCAGCAAAGGCAGGCTATGCTATGGTATCTTCCACATCTATCATTGAGGACACTGCTCCGCCCCCTCCACTACCTCTCAGCAAGCCAAACTCATTGCCTTAACTCGGGCTCTCACTCTTGCAAAGGGACTATGAGTCAATATTTATACTGACCCCATATCCTGCACCACCATGCTGTTTCATGGGCTGAAAGGTTTCCTCACTATGCAAGGGTCTTCCATCATTAATGCCTCTTTAATAAAAACTCTTCTCAAGGCTGCTTTACTTCCAAAGGAAGCTGGAGTCATTCCCTGCAAGGGCCATCAAAGGGCATCAGATCCCATCGCTCAGGGCAATGATTATACTGATAAGGTAGCTAAAAAAAGCAGCTAGCATTCCAACTTCTGTCTCTCATGGCCAGTTTTTCTCCTTCTCATTGGTCACTCCTATTTACTTTCCTACTGAAGTTTCCACATATCAATCTCTTCCCACATGAGGCAAATGGTCCTTGGACCAAGGAAAATATCTCCTTCCAGCCTCACACGCCCATTCTATTCTGTCATCATTTCCTAACCTCTTCCACATAGGCTACAAGCCGCTAGCCCATCTCTTAGAACCTCTCATTTCCTTTCCATCTTGGAAATCTATCCTCAAGGAAATCACTTCTCAGTGTTCCATCTGCAGGCCCCCTCCCTTCCCTATGCATCAAGCTCGGGAATTTGCCCCCACCCAGGACTGGCAAATTGACTTTACTCACATGCCTCAAGTCAGTAAACTAAAATACCACTTGGTCTGGGTAGACACTTTCACTGGATGGGTAGAGGCCTTTCCCACAGGGTCTGCCGTCATTTCTTCCCTTCTGTCAGACATAATTCCTCAGTTTGGCCTTCCCATCTCTATACAGTCCAATAACGGGCTGGCCTTTATTAGTCAAATCACCCAAGCAGTTTCTCAGGCTCTTGGTATTTAGTGGCTCCTGGTTTTACCTCAAGTCGCCACCCTTAAGTCTCTCTTTAAGTGGATAGAACATCTTCAATGGCAAGGTACCCTCCAATCCTTTCACCCTGATGAAGTCCTATTCTTTACTTTTATATTTACTCTTATTCTGGTTCCCATTCTTATGCCACCCTCTACCTCTCCCCAGCTATCTCCACCACACTATCAATCTCAGTCACTCTCTCCTAGCCATTTCTAATCCTTCTTTAACAAACAATTGCTGGCTTTGCATTTCTCTTTCCTCTAAAATCACTGAGGCCTCGACTTACTCACTGCTAAAAAAATAGGGGGGACTCTGTATATTTTTAAATGAAGAGTGCTGTTTTTCCCTAAATCAATCTGGCCTGGTATATGACAACATTAAAAAAACCCCTCAAAGATAGAGCCTAAAAACTTGCCAACCAAGCAAGTAATTATGCTAAACCCCTAAACCCCCTTGGACCCCCTTGGACACTCTCTAATTAGATGTCCTAGGTCCTCCCAATTCTTAGTCCTTTAATACCTGTTTTTCTCCTTCTCTTATTCGGATCTTGTGTCTTCCATTTAGTTTCTCAATTCATACCTTCATGCGCGTCCTTGTGAAGAGACCACCAAACAGGCTTTGTGTGAGCAACATGGCTGTTTATTTCACCTGGGTGCAGGTGGGCTGAGTCCAAAAAGAGAGTCAGCGAAGGGAGATGGATTATCATTAGTTCTTATAGATTTTGGGATAGGCGGTGAAGTTAAGAGCAATGTTTTGTGGGCAGGGGTGGATCTCACAAAGTACATTCTCAAGGGTGGAGAGAATTGCAACAAACCTTCTTAAGGGTGGGGGAGATTACAAAGTACATTGATCAGTTAGAGTGGGGCAGGAACAAATCACAATGGTGGAATGTCATCAGTTAAGGCTATTTTTACTTCTTTTGTGGATCTTCAGTTACTTCAGGCCATCTGGGTGTATACGTGCAAGTCACAGGGGATGTGATGGCTTGGCTTGGGCTCAGAGGCCTGACAAATACAAAACTGCATCCAGGCCATCATCAATAATTCTATACGACAAATGCTCCTTCTAGCAATCCCACAATATCACCCCTTACTACAAAATCTTCCTTCAGCTTAATCTCTCCCACTCTAGGTTCCCACATCACCCCTAATCCCGCTCGAAGCAACCCTGAGAAACATCGCCCATTATCTCTGCTGCCCCAACACTTTACCACTATTTTGTTTATTTTTCTTATTAATATAAGAAGACAGGAATGTCAGGCCTCTGAGCCTAAGCTAAGCCATCATATCCCCAGTGACCTGCAGGTATACATCCAGATGGCCTGAAGCAACTGAAGATCCACAAAAAAGTGAAAATAGCCTTAACTGATGACTTTCCACCATTGTGATTTATTTCTGTCCCAACCTAACTGATCTATGTACTTTGTAATCTCCCCCACCCTTAGGAAGGTTCTTTATAATCTTCCCCACCCTTAAGAAGATTCTTTGTAATTCTCCCCACCCTTGAGAATGTACTTTGTGAGATCCGCCCCATGCCCTCAAAACATTGCTCTTAACTCCACCGCCTATTCCAAAACCTATGAGAACCAATGATAATCCCACCACCCTTTGCTGACTCCTTTTTCGGACTCAGCCCGCCTGCACCCAGGTGAAATAAACAGCCTTGTTGCTCACACAAAGCCTGTTTGGTGGTCTCTTCACATGGACACATGAAACACCCTGAAAAAGGGACTGAAGCCAGTGAGCCAAGTGGTCTAGCTCAGTGGATCCCACACCCACAGAGCCCAGCAAGCTAAGATCCACTGGCTTGAAATTCTTGCTGCTAGCACAGCAGTCTGAAGCCGAGCTGGGACACTGGAGCTTGGTGGGGGGATAGGCATCTACCGTTACTGAGGGTTGAGTAGGCAGTTTTCCCCTCACACTGTAAACAAAGCCACAGGGAAGTTCAAACTGGGTGGAGCCCACTGCAGCTCAGTAAAGCCACTGTAGCCAGACTGCCTCTCTAGATTCCTCCTCTCTGGGCAGGGCATCTCTGAAAGAAACGCAGCAGCCCCAGTCAGGGGCTTATAGATAACACTCCCATCTCCCAGGGACAGAACCTGGGGGAAGGGGCAGCTGTGGGCGCAGCTTCAGCAGGTTTAAATTTTCCTGCCTGCCAGCCCCAAAGAGGGAAGCAGACCTCCCAGCACAGCACTAGAGCTCTGCTAAGGGACAGACTGCCTCCTCAAGTGGGTCCCTGACCCCCATGCCTCCTGACTGGGAGACACCTCATACAAGAGAGATCCTGCTGGCATCTGGCGGGTGCCCCTCTGGGACAAGGCTTCCAGAGGAAGGAACAGGCAGCAATCTTTGCTGTTTTGCAGCCTCTGCTGGTGATACCCAGGCAAACAGGGTCTGGAGGGGACCTCAGCAAACCCCAGCAGACTTGCAGCTGAGGGGCCTGTTAGAAGGAAAACTAGTAAACAGAAAGGAATAGCATCAACATCAACAAAAAGGACATCCACACAGAAACCCCATCCAAAGGTCACCAGTATCAAAGATCAAAGATAGATAAATCCATAAAGATGAGGAAAAACCAGTGCAAAAAGGCTGAAAATTCCAAAAAACAGGATGCCTCTTCTCCTCCAAAGGATCACAACTCCTCGACAGCAAAGGAACAAAACTGGACAGAGAATGAGTTTGACGAATTGACAGAAGTAGGCTTCAGAAGGTGGGTAATAACAAACTCCTCCGAGCAAAAAGAGCATGTTCTAATGCAATGCAAGGAAGCTAAGAACCTTGAAAAAAGGTTAGAGAAATTGCTAACTAGAATAACCAGTTTAAAGAAGAACATAAATGACCTGATGGAGCTGAAAAATGCAGCATGAGAACTTCGTGAAGCATACACACGTATCAATAGCCAAATCGATCAAGCGATAGAAAGGGTATCAGAAATTGAAGCTCAACTTAATGAAATAAAGCATGAAGACAAGCTTAGGGAAAAAAGAATGAAAAGGAATGAACAAAGCCTCCAAGAAATATAGGACTATGTGAAAAGACCAAACCTACGTTTGATTGGTGTACTTGAAAGTGACAGGGAGAATGGAACCAAATTTGAAAAGACTCTTCAGTTTACTATCTAGGAGAACTTCCCCAACCTAGCAAGATAGGCCAACATCCAAACTCAGGAAATAGAGACAACACCATGAAGATATTCTTCGGGAAGAGAGCAACCCCAAGGCACTTAATTGTCAGATTCACCAAGGTTGAAATGAAGGAAAAAATGTTAAGGGTAGCCAGAGAGAAAGGTTGGGTTACCCACAAAGGGAAGCCCATCAGACTAACAGCTGATCTCTCTGCAGAAACCCTGCAAGCCATAAGAGAGTGGGGGCCAACATTCAACATTCTTAAATAAAAGAATTTTCAACCCAGAATTTCATATCCAGCCAAACTAAGCTTCATAAGTGAAGGAGAAATAAAACTCTTTACAAACAAGCAAATGCTGAGAGATTTTGTCACCACCAGGCCTGCCTTACAAGATCTCCTGAAGGAAGCACTAATCATGGCAGGAAAAAAACAGTACCAGCCACTGCAAAAATATACCAAATTGTAAAGACCATCAACACTGTGAAGAAACAGCATCAACCAACAGGCAAAATAAACAGCTAGCATCATAATGACAGGATCAAATTCACACATAACAATATTAACCTTAAAGGTAAATGGGCTAAATGCCCCAATTAAAAGACACAGACTGGCAAATTAGATAAAGAGTCAAGACCCATTGATGCGCTGTATTCAGGAGTCCCACCTCTCGTGCAAAAACACACATAGGCTCAAAATAAAGGTCTGGAGGAATATTTACCAAGCAAATGGAAAGCTAAAAAAAAAAAAGGCAGGGGTTGTAATCCTAGCCTCTGATTAAAACAGACTTTAAACCAGCAAAGATAAAAAAAGACAAAGAAGAGCATTACATAATGGTAAATGGATTCAATGCAACGAGAGGAGCTAACTATCCTAAATACATATGCACCCAATAAAGGAGCACCCAGATTCATAAAGCAAGTTCTTAGAGACCTACAAAGAGACTTAGACTCTCACAAAATAATAGTGGGAGATTTTAACACCCCACTGTCAATATTAGGCAGATCAATGAGACAGAAAATTAACAAGGATATCCAGGAATTGAACTCAGCTCTGGACCAAGCAGACCTAATAAACATCTACAGAACTCTCCATTCCAAATCAACAGAATATACATTCTTCTCAGCACCACATTGCACTTATTCTAAAATTGACCACATATTTGGAAGTAAAACACTCCTCAGCAAATGCAAAAGAATGGCAATCATAACAAACAGTCTCTCAGACCACAGTGCAATCAAATTGGAACTCAGGATTAAGAAACTCACTCAAAACTGCACAACTACGTGGATACTGAACAACCTGCTCCTGAATGACTACTGGGTAAATATATGAAAATCAATAAGCATAATCAATCACATAAAGAGAACCAATGACAAAATCCACATGATTGTCTCAATAGATGCAGAAAAGGCCTTCGATAAAATTCAACATCACTTCATGCTAAAAACTCTCAATAAACTAGGTATTGATGGAATGTATCTCAAAATAATAAGAGATATTTATGACAAACCCACAGCCAATATCATACTGAATGAGCAAAAGCTGGGAGCATTCCGTTTGGCACAAAATAAGGATGCCCTCTCTCACCACTCCTATTCAACATAGTATTGGAAGTTCTGACCAGGGCAATCAGGCAAGAGAAAGAAATAAATCATATTCAAATAGGAAGAGAGGAAGTCAAATTGTCCCTGTTTGCAGATGACATGATTGTATATTTAGAAAACCCCATTGTCTCAGCCCAAAATCTCCTTAGGCTGATAAGCAACTTCAGCAAAGTCTCAGGATACAAAATCAATGTGCAAAAATCACAGGCATTCCTATACGCCAATAATAGACAAACAGAGAGCCAAATCATGAGTGAAGTCCCATTCACAATTGCTACAAAGAGAATAAAATACCTAGGAATACAACTTACAAGGGACGTGAAAGACCCCTTCAAGGAGAACTACAAACCACTACACAAGGAAATAAGAGAAGATACAAACAATTGGAAAAACATTCCATGCTCATGGATAGGAAGAATCAATATCATGAAAATGGCCATACTGCCCAAAGTAATTTATAGATTCAATGCTATCCCCATCAAGCTACCATTGACTTTCTTCACAGAATTAGAAAAAAACTACTTTAAATTTCATATGGAACCAAAAAAGAGCCTGTGTAGCAAAGGCTGTCCTAAGCAAAAAGATCAAAGCTGGAGGCATCATGCTACCTGACTTCAAACTATACTACAAGGCTACAGTAACCAAAACAGCATGGTACTGGTACCAAAACAGATATATAGACCAATGGAATAGAACAGAGGCCTCAGAAATAATGCTACACATCTACAACCATCTGATCTTTGACAAACCTGAAAAAAACAAGCAATGGGAAAAGGATTCCCTATTTAATAAATGTTGTTGGGAAAACTGGCTAGCCATATGCAGAAAACTGAAACTGGAACCCTTTTTTACACCTTATACAAAAATTAACTCAAGATGGATTAAGACTTAAACGTAAGACCTATAACCATAGAAACTCTAGAAGAAAACCTAGGCAATACCACTTGGGACATAGGCATGGGCAAAGACTTCAGGACTAACACACCAAAAGCAATGGCAACAAAAGCCAAAATTGACAAATGAGATCTAATTAAACTAAAGAGCTTCTGCACAGCAAAAGAAACTATCATTAGAGTGAACAGGCAACCTGCAGAATCTGAGAAAATTTTTGCAATCTCTTCTTTCGACAAAGGGTTAATATCCAGACTCTAAAAGGAACTTAAACAAATTTACAAGAAAAATCAAACAACCCCAACAAAAAGTGGGCAAAGGATATGAACAGACACTTCTCAAAAGAAGACATTTATGTGGCCAACAAACATGAAAAAAGCTCATCATCACTGGTCATTAGAGAAATGCAGATCAAAACCACAATGAGATACCATCTCGCACCAGTTAGAATGGCGATCATTAAAAAGTCAGGGAACAACAGATGCTGGAGAGGATGTGGAGAAACAGGAACGCTTTTACACTGTTGGTGGGAATGTAAATTAGTTCAACCATTGTGGAAGACAGTGTGGTGATTCCTCAAGGATCTAGAACCAGAAATACCATTTGACCAAGCAATCCCATTAGTAGGTATATACCCAAAGGATTATAAATCATTGTACTATGAAGACACATGCACATGTATGTTTATTGCAGCACTCTTCACAATAGCAAAGACTTGGAAACAACCCACATGTCCATCAATGATAGACGGGATTAAGAAAATGTAGCACATATATACCATGGAATACTATGCAGCCATAAAAAGGATGAGTTCATGTCCTTTGCAGAGACATGGATGAAGCTGGAAACCATCATTCTCAGAAAACTAACACAAGAACAGAAAACCAAACACTGCATGTTCTCACTCAAAAGTGGGAATTGAACAATGAGAACACATGGACATAGGGAGGGGAACACCACATACCAGTGCCTGTCAGGGTGTCGGGGGCTAGGGGAGGGATAGCATTAGAAGAAATACCTAATGTAGATGATGGGTTGATGGGTGCAGCAAACAACCCATGGCACGTGTATACCTATGTAACAAACCTGCACATTCTGCACATGTATCCCAGAAATTAAAGTATAATAAAAAAATAAATTTAAAAAAATTATTCATTGGCAATACTAGCATGGAATGTGACAGACTATCTCTTGGGTGCATTTTGTCGCAGACATTACTTTTAGATGAAAATCCCAACACTCTTAGTTATCCTAATTTTAAAGCATAGGCTTGGGTCGAAGCCTTTGTGTGTTAAATCTAGTAAAGTTAGACCTCTGTCATGACGATCAAGGTGTCATAGTGGTTCTGGTAATAGTAATAGTTTTTTTTTAATAGTAGATTCACAAATTCGAACATTGATCTAACTAAATCTTTTGTATGATAATCATATATGGAGTCTAGGGATCCAAAACTGTGGTGTTAATAACTCCACATTCTCCGCAGTTTTTTAGGGTAGCAGGCTTCACACATTTTCTAATTTTTCATACATTTTTAAATGTCTTTTCAACAAATCCTTTTATTGTTTTTCATGTTTGACTAACAGAGGACCATTGGTACACCTTTATTCCTCTTTCTCAAACACATTTACCTAATATTTCATAGTTTTAAAGTTCACCATGCTTGGTGGTTATTCATTTATGAGGTGTTTAAAAAAGACAATGCAAAGATATAGATCTGGACCCAGAATAGCCAACGCAAGACCCCCCTCCCCTAGAAAAAAAATGGAAAAAAATGGGAGGACTCACACTAACCTATTTTCTTTTTTGAGACTGAGTCTTGCTCTGTTGCCCAGGCTGGAGTGCAGTGGCATGATCTTGGCTCACTGCAACCTCTGACTCCTGGGTTCAAGTGATTCTCCTGCCTTAGCCTCCTGAATAGCTGGGACTACAGGTGTGTGTCACCACGCTTGGCTAATTTTTGTATTTTTAGTAGAGGCAGGGTTTTACCACATTGGTCAGGCTAATCTTGAGCTCCTGACCTCAGATAATCCGCCTGCCTCGGGCTCCCAAAGCGTTGGGATTACAGGCGTGAGCCACTGCACCCAGCTGACACTGCCTTATTTTAATACCTACTCTAATGCTGCAATAATCAAGCAGCATGTATTGGTGAAAGAATAGACACATAGATCAGTGAAATAGCATATATTAATAGAATCAGGAAATATATTGGCACAAATATAGTAAAATGATTTTTGATAAAAATGCAAAGTCAATTCAATGGAGAAAGAATAGTCTTTTCACAAATAGTGCTGGAATAATCAGGCAACCATATGCAAAAAGAAAAAAAAGTGAACCTAGGCACAGACCTTACTCATTACACATAAGTTAACTTAAAATAGATTATAGACCTACAAAATAAAAATTTATGAAGCTTGAAGAAGAAAACATATGAGAAAATCTACATGATTTTGAGTTTGGTGATGAGGTTTTAGATACAATACCAAAAGCATGATTTGTAAAAGAAAAACTTTGATACATTAGGTTAATACAATTAAAGACCTTTGCTTTGCAAAAAAACACTGTTAAGAAAATGAAAAACGAGTCATCAACTAGGAAAAAATATTTACAGATTACATATAAGGTAAAGAATTTGTATCTAAAATGCACAAAGAACTCTTAAAACTCAACAATAGGAAAACAAAGAAACCAATTTGATGATTGGAGAGATATTAGTGAAAATGGCAGAAAAGGGAACTCCAAAAGTCCATCATTCCACAAAAGCAATGAATAAGCTGACAAAAACTGTCAGAATTAACTGTGTGTGTGTGTGTGTGTGTGTGTGTGTCTGTGTGTGTGTTGCGAGGGTGGGGGTGGAGATTATGGAATCTAATTAAAGATTACAAGAAAGGCGACCATTAATAAATTATACACAGCTTGGTACAATTTTCCTTGGAACCATTGGTATCATTTCTCACTCCCCAGCATGGCAGTGACCTTTAAGAACCACAGCCCTTATTCCTGGTATATATTGCTGGTACCTGAAAGAGCAATATAGGTGTTATTCTCAAAGAATAGTGGCTGTTAGTTTTGACCTGTCTGGTGGCTTCCTAAATACCAGCTCAGAGCTTTGCATTTATTTTGCCTAACTTATAATGCAAATGTATTTGCTGCTGCCACCTGGAGCAAGGAATAATAGTTGGGATGAACAACAGAGAAGCTAAAAAGCCTGGAAGGCAAGAGTAGAGAAGAGATGCTTTGTGGAATAAAGACCTTGATAAATTCCTGCATATTATGGGGAATCTAGAAGGCATATGTTGCCCAGTGCTGGGTGCATTTTATGAAATACCTCAGGAGGCCTTATGTCTTCATCTCTATCTGACCCTCAGAGTCCACACAAACAGCAAGGGAAGGCTAAGGTAGAGTTGTAAACTGCTTGGCTCATTGCCCTAACCCACACAGGGAGTGTTGGCAAAGACAGGGAGAGTTTTGTCGTTGCTGTTCCATGTGTTTAAAAAAATCTCTATCAAATCACTAGCTGACCACTAAGTTAATGAAACAGAGACTTCAGTGGCTACATATGACAAAGGACACAGACTTTAGAAAATTAGTTTGGAAAGCCATTAATCGAATAAACAAGCAATAACTATGTAAACCAAAAATAAAATTCTAAGGCCCTCTGACCATCTAAAAGGACCCCTCCTCTCAGCCAAGGGCATTCCAAAGTTAACCTAAAAAACTAATTCAGGCCATTATGGGAAGGGGGATTAGATGTGCCTCATTATACCCTCCTCCCTTTCAGAATTCAGGAAAAACCAACCAGCGTTAACATCAACCTAGACCTTAAGTCTGAGAAGAAACATTTGCAATCTATTCTTTCAGAAGCCTACTACCTGGAAGCTTCATCTGCATGATAAAACTTTGATCTTAACAACTCCTTATTGTCATATCATTATTTTCTGTTGATTTCAGGTCTTTAGATAATAACTTAACTCTTTCAACCAATTACCAATCAGAAAAATTTTAAATCTATGTATAACTTGAATGCCTCTGCTTCAAGTTGTCCTGCCTTTCCAGATTGAACCAATATGCATCTTATAGGTATTCACTGATGTATTATGTCTCCCTAAAATGTATAAAAGCAAGCTGTATCACAACCACCTTGAGCACATGTCATCAGGACCTTCCAAGGCTGTGTCATGGGCACATCCTTAACTCTGGCAAAATAAACTTTCCAAATTGATTTGGACCTGTCTCAGATACTTTTGAGTTCACAGCTACAACAAGCAGCAGTAAGAAACCTTTTGAGGGAGGAGAATGTTATAATATTGCTACATTTTAGATTTTGAAATGTCTAGTTTCAACACAACATTACAAAGCAGGCAAAGAAACAATAAGGTATGGCCCATACATAAGAAGAAAAAAAATAATAGAAATTGTCTCTGAGGAAGCTCAGCCATTGGACTTATTAGACTTTAATTCAAGTAATTTAAGTGTGCTCAAAGTGCTTAAGGAAAAAATATATACAGAACAAAAATAAACCACAAGAAAAATGCCTCATCAAAGAACATCAAAGAGTAAGAAATTTAATTATTTTTTTCTTTCTCGGGGTCTTGATCTGTTGCCCAGGCTGAACTGCAAGTGGTGTTATCATAGCTCATTGCAGCCTCAAACTCCTGGACTCAAGCAATCCTCCAGCCTCAGCCTCTTATGGAGCTGGGACTACAGGTGCATGCTACTGCACGCAGCTAATTTTTCATTTTTTGTAGAGATGAGTTCTCTCTATGTTGTCAAGGCTGGCCTTGAACTCCTGAACTCAAGCAATTATCCTGCTTTGACCTCCCAGCATGTTGGGATTGCTATTATGAGCCCCTGTACCTAGCCAAAGAGTAAGAGATTATAGAAAGGTATCAAATAGAAATTCTGAAGTTTAAAAGTACAATAACTGAAATGAAGCATTCACTGAGGAGTTCAACAGCAGATTTGAGTGTGCAGAAGAAAGGATCCCTGAACTTGAAGATAGGCCCATTGATATTATCCAGTGTGAGTAGAAGAAAGAAAAATGAATGATGAAAAAATAAACAGAGGTAAAGATACTTCTGAGTCACCATCAAACATCTAGGATTAAGGCAGAGACAGGACCATGAGAAGAAGTAATACATGCGCTTTGTTGGGCAGTGCTTAGATAGGGCTGCATGAAAGATGTTCCTCCCAAGAAGAAATCTTCAAGACAACATCATGAACCCACCGCCTAGAAAGGAAACAGGACAAGAGCACTCCCAGGGAAGAAGTGAAAATAGGAGAAGGGGCTTAGATGTCTAGGTGATGTTGCTAAGTAGCAATGTGGGAAGTCAGAGAGCTTCAAAAAGTAGCAGTGGGTTTGTTTGTTTGTTTTTAAAAATAGTTATAGGGTTTGTCTTACCTATGGTTAAAAAATATTGAGAGCAGTTTCAGAGGATGTGTAAAGTGAGTAGGTTGTAAATGGCTAAAAATTGTTTAGACTATATCCAAAGGAACTGGATGTGTGAGAATTTGTGTTTGGCACCAGTGGGCTTTGGGCTAATGGTCTTGGGCTGCTGTCAAGAAGTAAACAACATGGGAATTATTTTAGGCCAGAATTGAAGGACCATCTCCAACTCATTTACATAACATATAAAAACATGTGTCCCAGAGGAGAGAAGAGAAAGAGGCCGAAAGAATAATTGAAGAAATAATGGCCCAAAGGGATGAAAGACATGAATATACACATCTAAGAAGCTCAAAAAACTCTTAAGATAAACTCAATGAGGTACACACCAAGACACATTATAATCAAATTGTCAAAAGACAATTCTTATAGACTGAGTTGTAGTCCCTTCCAAAATTCATATATTAAGTCCTAACTCCTAATGTGACAGTATTCAAATATAGGGATTTTAAAGAGGTAACTAAGGTTAAATAAGGTCATAAAGGTGGGGTCCTAATCCAATACGACTGATGTCCTTATAAAAAGAGGAAGAGACACCAGAGATGTCTCTTTCAGTGCACATATACAGAGAAAAGGCCATGTGAAGGCATAGCAAGAAGGGGCCACCTGCAAGCCAAAGTGATAGGCCTTACCAGAAACCAACCCTGCTGGCACCTTGATCTTATACTTCCAGCTTCTAGAACTGTGAGAAAACAAATTTCTGCTGTTTAAGCCTCCCAGTCTGTGGTTATTGTGGTCCTAGCAGGGTAAGACAAGCAAGAATTCTATATTTTGCAAGACTATGCTTTAAAAATGAAGGCAAAATTAAGATATTCCCAGATAAACTTTGACAGTGCTAGTAGACCTGCTCAGATCCACATGAAGAAATAAAAACACTGGTAAAAACCAACAGCTGGGTGTGGTGGCTCACACCTGTAATCCTAGCACTTTGGGAGGCCAAGGTGGGCGGTTCACAAGGTCAGGAGATCGAGACCATCTTGGCCAACATGGTGAAACCCCATCTCTACTAAAAATACAAAAATTAGTCAGGTGTGGTGGTGCACACCTGTAGTCCCAGCTACTTGGGAGGCTGAGGCAGAAGAATCGCTTGAACCTGGGAGGCGGAGGTTGCAGTGAGCCTAGATGGCACCACTGCACTCCAGCCTGGCAACACAGTGAGACTCTGTAACAAAAAAATATAAATTAAAAAAAAAGGTAACTAACAGGTAAATATAAAGTCAGTTTTAATGTATTTTTGATTTGTAACTTTCCTATATGATTTAAAAGGCAAATTCATAAAACAATAATTTTAAATATATGTTTATAATTTTTAAACCAATGTACAAAGATGTAACTTGTAACAGTAACAACATAAAGGCTAAGTTTTTCGCATACTGCTGAAACTAAGTTGGTATGAATTTGAACCAGGTTGTTATAAATTAAGATGTTAATTGTAATTGCTAGATAACCAGTTAGAAAATAACTAAAAAATATGTAGTAAAAGAAACAGGAGGGAATAAAATGGTACACAAGAAAATATCTATGAAACAGAAAAAGCTTTCTTCCCCCAAGATGGCAGATTAGAGACTTTCAGCATGCCTCAGCCACTTGGAAATAGCAAGATAGTACATGAAGATCAACTTCGTGAGCTTTAATTTAAGAAGGAAAATAGGAATCCACTGGCATCATGAAGGACAGTCTGAGTCCTGGAAAGGAGAATGCCAGCAAACAGCTTCCATGATGGTGTCCAGCTGATATAAGTGAGTGAAGCCCCAGTACGTCAGACAGTCAGAGGGCCTCGTTCTGTGACTCACCTTGCCACTGTGGATCTCAGCATCCCAGGCTGTAGGAGAGCACTTTGTTTCTCCCAAGCCCTGCAGCTAACTTGGGGAGAGGCTTGGAGACACCGTGAATGAAAAACACCAGGGAGAGCTGCAGACATTTTCCTAGACCCAGCGCTGAGAGCAGGATGCCATTTTTAAACTTGGCGTGTACAAAGTCAGCTGTTCCTTGGTGAGCCAGCAGCATGGCTGTGCAGGCATTTTAGTCCCAGGCCACAGATTGCAGCACTTGCTCTAGAGCTGAGTAGGAGCCTCCATAGCCAGAAATGAGGAAAGTGTCTCACCAGTAGGCTCTGGAATCATGTTCTCCCCTGTTGCAAGCCTAGGGTAGGAGGAGAGCTGCTGTAGCTGCAGTTTCTCCTGGGTGGCAAGATTTGCAGCCAGGGCCAGCTTGGTGACCTGGAAGTGGTCTGTGTGTGCCATTGCCGGGTCCTCCATCCTGCTCTCCTGAGATAGAGATGGAGCAGGGCCCTCTCTGCTCTACCCCTGGGCTGAAATCAGGCATTTGGAGCACCTGCTTGCCTGGATGAGCAGCCTGAATTTTCCCATCCTTCCTGGACATAGATATTTCGCAGCAGGCTCTTTCTGCTCTATACCCAGGTAGATCTGCAGGCATTTGGAGCACCCATTCACCTGATTCAGCAGACTAGCCCACCCTTTCTGTGCAGAGGTCATGGTGCAGTGGGGCTCTCTCTGCACCATGTCCAGGCAGATCTCCAGGCTTTCAGAGCATTCACTCACCTGTATTACCAGCCTGACCCACTCCACCCTTCCTATGAAGAGATCATGGTGCAGTGGGGCTGTCTCTGCTCCACACGCTGGCAAATCTTCAGACATGTGGAGCACCTGCTTGCTTAGTCCAACAGCCTGAGCCACCCCATCCCTCCTGTGCAGAGATCTTGGAATTCGGGGCCCTCTTTGTCCTTTGCCCAGGCAGATCTCCAGGCATTAGGAGTATCCACTTGGAGTGATTCAGCAGCCTGAGCCACTCCACCTTTCCCAGACATAGATCATGGTGCAGTGGGACTTTCTCTGTACCACACCCAGGCAGATCTCTAAGCATTTGCAGCATTGTCTAACGTGGATCAGTAGCCTGAGCCATCCTACCCTTCCTGTGCAGAGATCCTGGTGCAGGGTGGCCCTCTGTGCTACACAACTAGGCAGACCTTAAGGCATTCAGAGCACCTGCTTGCCTCATTCAGCAGTCTGAGTCATCCCACCCTTCCTGTGCAGAGATCCTTGTGTGTGGGGCCCTCTCTGCCACACACCCAGGCAGATCTCTAGGCATCTGGAGTACTCACTCTCTTGGATTAGAAGTTTAGGCCATCTCCAAACCCCTTGCAGTGAATCTGGAGCCAAGTTTTCCCAACATCATGCCTAGGCACACCTCTGGGCACTTAGTGGGCTGCCCACTGGATTCTCCCTCAGTGCTGGTGCTGGTGCCTGCTATTGGGAGAAAAGAAGGTGCACCTGCCAAGCCTGCCCCTGTCCTTCATGGCCCTACACCTCCCCAGGGTTGAGCAGGGAGCTGAGACCACTGTGCGTTCCATAAGTCAGACCATTTCCTGAGGCAACAGAGAGCTTCTGCCAGTAAATAAGGATCAAGTATATACCCAGCCATGTTGGCTATAGCCAGCTCTTACCTATAAGCGCCATCTAATGGGCTTGCAAGCTAAACTGCACAGCCCAATATAAAACATTCTGAAAGAAGTGCATAGGGCTATAGAACAAAGTCAAAATACCCTACCCAGCATTCACTACAGTTACCCCTCCCCACTGGGAAGGGGGTAAAGGAAAAGGAAGAGAAAAAAATAACATTATAGGGAAAGTGAAAAAAAAGAAAAATCCTACCCACATGAAAATAATTACAAAAATTAGAAGTGCAAGTGTCTCCAGATGACAAGGAACCAGGGCAAGACTTTTGGCACCATGAAAAATATGAATGTAGTGACACCACCAAAGGATTCCACTAGCTCTCCAGCAATAATCCCTAATAAAAATGGAAACTCAGAAGTGATAGATGAATTCAAAGCATGGATTGCAAGGAAGCTCAATGAGATCCAAGGCAAGACCAAAAATCAACACAAAGAAATTTATAAAGAAATCCAGGAAGTGAAGGAAGAGATAAACATCTTAAAAAGAAATCAATTACAGCTTTTGAATTTTAAAACTCACTTAAGGAATTTGAAAATACAATAGAAAGCTTTATTGATAAATTGGACCAAGCAGAAGAAAGAATTTCAGAATCCGAAGATTGCTCTTTTGAATTAACCCAGTCAGACAAAAATAGAGAAAAAAGACTCTAAAAATGAACAAAGTCTTTGAGAAATATGGGATTATGTAAAGTGATGAAACCTATGAAATTATTAGCATTCTTGAGAAAGAAGGAGAAAAAGTAAACAACCTGGACAATATATTTGAGGGAATAATTTGAGAAAACTTCTCTAATCTTGCTAGAGAGGGAGACATCCAGATACAAGAAACCCAGAGAACACCTGAAAATACCATACAAAATAAACATCACCAAGGCATACAGTCACCAGATTGTTCAAGGTCAACACTAAAGAAAAAACTTAAAGGCAGCTAGAGATAAAGGGCAGATCATGTACAAATGGAACCCTATCAGGCTAACAGCAGACTTCTCAGCAGAAACCCTACAAGCCAAGAGAGATTGGTGGCCTATATTCAGTATTCTTAAAGAAAAGAAATTCCAACCAATAATTTAATATCTTGACAATATAAGCTTCATAAGTTAAAACTACATAAAGTCTCTTCTAGATAAGCAAGCACTAAGGGAATTCATTATCACTAGACCAGCCTTACAAGAGATCCTGAAGGGAATTCCACACATGGAAGCAAAAGAATGATACCTACTACCACAAAAGCACATATAAGTACATAGCCCACAGATCCCATAAAGCAACCACACAATAAAAACTACAAAGCAACAAGCTAACAACTTCATAATAGGATCAAAACCTCACATGTCAATACTAACCTTGAATGTAAATGGCCTAAGCATCCCACTTAAAAGGCAGAGGGTGGCAAGTTGAATTAAAAAACAAACAAGACCCAAGGTGGATTGCTTGAGCCCAGGAGTTCAAGACCAGCCTTGGCAACATGGCAAAACCCTGTCCCTATGAAAAATACAAAAATTAACTAGGCATGGTGGCATGCACCTGTAGTGTCAGCTACTTGGGAGGCTGAGGTGGGAGGATCACCTTAGCCTGGGAGGCTGAGGTTGCAGTTAGCTGAGATTGCATCACTGCACTCCAGTTTGGGTGACAGAGCAGGACTCTGTGTCAAACAAAACAAAACAAAACAAAACCAAGACCCATCTGTCTGCTGTCTTCAAGAGACTCATTTCACATGTAGTAACACCCATAGGCTCAAAGTAAAGGGTTGGAGAAAGATATAACATGCAAACAGAAAACAAAAAAAAGCAGGGGTTGTTATTCTTATATTGGATACAATAGACTTTAAGCCAACAACAGTAAACAAGGGCAAAGAAGGGCATTACATAATGATAAAGAGTTCAATTCAACAAGAAGATTTACCAGTTCTAAGTATCTATGCACCCAACATTGGAGCATCCATATTATAGAACAAGTACTCTGGACTTACAGAAAGACTAAGAGAGCCACATAATGATAATGGGGGACTTCAAAACACCACTGACAGTGTTAGACAGATAATCAAGACAGAAATGTAACAAATAAATTCTGGACTTAAACTCGACACTTGACCAATTGGACCTAATAGACATCTACAGAATACTCTGCTCATCAAACACAGAATATATATTCTTCTCATCTACACATGGAACATACTCCAAGATTGACCACATGTTCAGGCATAAAGCAAGTTTCAATAAATTCACAAGACTCAAAATCCTAACAATTATACTCTTGGACCACAGTGGAATAAAAATAGAAATGAATACCAAGGAGATCTCTCAAAACCACACAATTTGCCTGTAATCCCGGCACTTTGGGAAGCCGAGACAGGTGGATCATGAGGTCAAGAGGTCGAGACCATCCTGGCCAATATGGTGAAACCCCATCTCTACTAAAAATACAAAAATTAGCTGGGCATGGTGGCACATGCTTGTAGTCCCAGATACTTGGGAGGCTGAGGCAGGAATATCACTTGAACCCAGGAGGCGGAGGTTGCAGTGAGCTGAGATTGCACCACTGCACTCTGGCTTGGAGACAGAGCAAGACTCCAATCTCAAAACAAACAAACGAAAAACAAAAACAAACAAAAAAAGCCCCCCCCAACACACAATTACATGGAAATTAAATAATTTACTCCTGAATTACTTTTTATAAAACAACAAAATCAAGGCAGAAATAAAAAAATTCTTTGAAATTAATAAAAACAGACACAACATACCAAAATCTCTGGGCTGCAGTAAAAGCGGTGTTAAGAGGAAAGTTTACAGCATTAAACGCCTATCTCAAAAAGTTAGAAATATCTCAAATTAATGATCAACATCATAGCTAGAGAAACTAAAAAAGCAAGAAAAAACTAACCCCAAAGCTAGCAGAAGAAAATAAATAACTAAAATAGAGCAAAACTGAATGAAATTGAGAGCCAAACATTCACACAAAGAATTAAAAAAAAAACAATTGGTTTCTTGAAAGGATAAACAAGATTAATAGAACATTAGCTAGATTAACAAAGAAAAAAGAGAGATGATCCAAATAAGCACAATCAGAAATGACAAAGCTGACATTACAACTGATCCCACAGGAATATAAAAGATTTTCAGAACACTTCTACACATGCAAAATGGAAAATCTAGAGGAAATGTATAAATTCCTAGAATGATAAAATCTCCCAAGATGGAATCAGGAAGAAATTGAAACACTGAAACTACCAATATCAAGTTCCCAGACTGAATCAGTAATAAAAAACCTACCAACCAAAATGAGCCCCAGACCAGATAGATTCATAGCCAAATTGTACCAAATAATTGTACCAAATGTACAAAGAAGAGCTGGTACCAATTCTACTGCAACTATTCTAAAAAATGGGGGAGGACGGACTCCTCCCTAACTTATTCTATGAATCCAGCATCACCCTGATACTAAAACCTGGCAAAGACACAACGAAAAAGAAAACTACAGGCAAAGATCCCTGATAAACATAGATGTAAAAATCTGCAACAAAATACTAGCAAACTGAATTTAACAACACAACAAAAAGTTAATTTACCATGACCAAGTAGGTTTCATTACTGGGATGCAAGGTTGGTTCTAACATATGCAAATCAATAAATGTGATTCACCACAGAAACAAAATTAAAAACCATATGATCATCTCAGTAGACACGGAAATAGCTTTTGATAACATCCTATATCCCTTCATGATAATGACCCTCAAGAAACTAGGCATGAAGGAAAATACCTCATAATAATAAGAGCTATCAATGAAAAACCCACAGCCAGCATCATACTGAACAGTCAAAAACTGGAAGCCCTTGAGAACTAGAGTAAGACAAAGATGCTCACTGTCACCACTCCTACTCAACATAATACTGGAAGTGCTAGTCAGACCAATCAGGCAAGAGAAGGAAATAAAAAGCATCCAAATGGAAAAGAAGAAGTCAAATTATCTCTCTTCACTGGTGATATGATTCTATATTTAGAAAACTCTGCAAAAGGCTACTATAACTGATAAACAATTTTAACAATATTTCAGCATACAAAAATCGATGTACAAAAATCAATATCACTTCTATATACCAATGATGTTCAGTCTGAGTACCGAATCAATAATTCAATTTCATTTACAATAGCCACACAAAAAATAAAATACCTCAGAACACATTTAACCAAGGAGGTGAAAGATTTCTACAAGGAAAACTACAAAACACTACTAAAAGAAATCATAGATGACACAGGCTGGGCACAGTGGCTCATGCCTGTAATCCCAGAATTCTGGGAGGCTGAGGCGGTGGATCACCAGGTCAGGAGAGAGTGAGACCATCCTGGCTAACATGGTGCAACCCGGTCTCTACTAAAAAATACAAAAAAATTAGCCAGGTGTGGTGGCGGGTGCCTGTAGTCCCAGCTACTCGGGAGGCTGAGGCAGGAGAATGGCATGAACCCAGGAGGTGGAGGTTGCAGTGAGCTGAGATTGTGCCACTGCACTCCAGCCTGGGCGACAGAGCGAGACTCCATCAAAAAACAACAACAACAAAAAAAAAAAAGAAAAAAAAAGAAAAAAAGAAAAAGAAATCATAGAAATCACAAACAAATGGAAAAACCTTTCCATGTTCATGGATTGGAAGAATTAATGTCATTATAATGGCCATACAACCCAAAGCAATCTACAGATTAATGCTATTCCTCTTCCTTTTATTTTTATTTTTTAATTTTTTTTTTGAGATGGAGTCTTGCTCTGTCACCCAGGCTGGAGTGCAGTGACGTGATCTTGGCTCACTGCAACCTCCACCCCTGTAAGTTCAAACGATTCTCCTGCCTCAGCCTCCCAAGTAGCTGGGATTACAGGTACGTGCCACCACACCTGGCTAATTTCTGTATTTTTAGTAGAGACGGGGTTTCACCATGTTGGCCAGGCTGGTCTCGAACTCCTGACCTCAGGTGATCCACCTATCTCAGCTTCCCAAAGTGCTAGGATTCAGGTGTGAGCCACCGCACAAGGCCTCAATGCTATTCCTATCAAACTACCAGTGCCATTTTTCACAGAACCAGAAAAAAGCTATTCTAAATTTTATATGGAACCAAAAAAGGACCTAAATAGCCAAATCAATCCTAAGCAAAAAGAAGAAAGTCAGAGGCATCACATTACTCTACTTTATACTATAAGATTATCATAATCAAAACAGTATAGTACTGGTACAAAAATAGACACATAGGCCAGTGGAACAGAATAGTAGACCCAGAAATAAAGCCACACACTAGAAGCCATCTAATCCTTGACAAAGTTAACAAAAATAAGTAATGTGAATGTTCTCTCTATTAAATTAATGGTACTGGGATGGCTGGCTAGGTATACGTAGAAGAATGAAACTGGACCCCTACCTTTCACCATTCACAAAAAGTAACTCAAGATGGATTAAAGATTTAAATGTAAGACCTCAGCCTTTAAGAATCCTAGAAGAAAACCTAGGAAACACCATTCTGGAAATAGAACTTGGGAAAGAATTTATGACTAAGTCCTCAAAAACAATTGCAAAAAATCCCCAAAATTGACAAGTGGACCTAATTAAACTAAAGAGAGAGCTTCTTCACAGCAAAAGAAACTACCAAAAATTAAACAGACCACCTATAGAATGAGAGAACATATTCACAAACTATGTATCTGACAAAGGTCTATATTCAGAATCTATAAGGACTTTATACAGTTGAATAAGCAAAAAACAAATAACCCCATTAAACAATGGGCAAAAGTCATGAACAGACATTTCTTGAAAGAAGACATACAAAAAAACACATCAAAAATGCTGCACATCCTAAAACCATAAAAACCCTAGAAGAAAACCTAGGCATTACCATTCAGGACATAGGCATGGGCAAGGACTTCATGTCTAATACACCAAAAGCAATGGCAACAAAAGCCAAAATTGACAAATGGGACCTAATTAAACTAAAGAGCTTCTGCACAGCAAAAGAAACTACCATCAGAGTGAGCAGGCACCCTACAAAATGGGAAAAAATTTTCTCAACCTACTCATCTGACAAAGGGCTAATATCCAGAATCTACAATGAACTCAAACAAATTTACAAGAAAAAAACAAAGAACCCCATCAAAAAGTGGGTGAAGGACATGAACAGACACTTCTCAAAAGAAGACATTTATGCAGCCAAAAAACACATGAAAAAATGCTCACCATCACTGGCCATCAGAGAAATGCAAATCAAAACCACAATGAGATACCATCCCACACCAGTTAGAATGGCAATCATTAAAAAGTCAGGAAACAACAGGTGCTGGAGAGGATGTGGAGAAATAGGAACACTTTTACACTGTTGGTGGGACTGTAAACTAGTTCAACCCTTGTGGAAGTCAGTGTGGCGATTCCTTAGGGATCTAGAACTAGAAATACCATTTGACCCAGCCATCCCATTACGGGGTATATACCCAAAGGACTATAAATCATGCTGCTATAAAGACACATGCACACGTATGTTTATTGCGGCACTATTCACAATAGCAAAGACTTGGAACCAACCCAAATGTCCAACAACGATAGACTGGATTAAGAAAATGTGGCACATATACACCATGGAATACTATGCAGCCATAAAAAATGATGAGTTCATGTCCTTTGTAGGGACATGGATGAAATTGGAAATCATCATTCTCAGTAAACTATCGCAAGAACAAAAAACCAAACACTGCATATTCTCACTCATAGGTGGGAATTGAACAGTGAGAGCACATGGACACAGGAAGGGGAACATCACACTCTGGGGACTGTTATGGGGTGGGGGGAGGGGGGAGGGATAGCTTTAGGAGATACACCTAATGCTAAATGATGAGTTAATGGGTGCAGCACACCAGCATGGCACATGTATACATAGGTAACTAACCTGCACATTGTGCACATGTACCCTAAAACTTAAAGTATAATAATAATAAAATATATATATATATTTAAAAAAATGCTGCACATCACTAATCATCAGAGAAATGCAAATCAAAACCCACACCACTCAGAATGGCTATTACTAAAAAAGCCAAAAACAACAGATGGTAGCAAGACTGTGGAGAAAAGGGAATGCTTATATACTGTTGGTGGGGATGTAAATTAATTCGGTCAGTGTGGAAAATAGTTTGGAAATATCTCAATGAATTTAAAACAGAACTACCATTTGACCCACTAATCCCATTACTGAATATATAACCAAAAGAAAATGAATCTTTTTACCAAAATGACACACGCACTCACATGCTCATTGCAGCACTATTCACAAGAGCAAAGACATGAAATCAACCTAGGTGCCCATCAATGGTGGATTGGATAAAGAAAATGTGATAAATATACACCGTGGAATACTACACAGCCATAAAGAAGAATGAAATCTTATCCTTTGCAGCAGCATGGATGCAGCTGGAGGGCATTATGCTAAGCAAATTAATGGAAGAACAGAAAACTAAATACCACATGTTCTCACATATGAGTGGAAGCTAAACATTAGGTACTCATGGACATGAAGATGGCAACAATAGACACTGGGAATTACTAAATTGCTAAGATTGTAGATTTTAAATGTTCTCAACACACTATAAAATAATAAGTGTGAGACATGATGAATATGTTAATTAGCCTGATTTAATCATTCCACAATGTATACATGTATCATAACATCACATTGTACTCTATAAATATATATAATTATTGTCAGTTAAAAATAAAATAAAATTTTAAAAAGAAAGAAGAAACACAAATGTGGCAGTAATGGAGGAATAGAGGAATAAAAAGATGTGAGACACATAGAAAATAAATATCAAAATGAAATGGCAGAGAAATTCCTCACTTATCATTAATTACATTAAATGTTAAGGAATTGAAATCTCCAGTTAAAAATTAGAGATTAGTAGGATGAATTTTAAAAATGTTCCAACTACATGCTATCTGTGACTCTTTGGGTGGAAAAACACAAATAGGTTGAAAGTGAAAGAGTAGAAAAAATACATTATGCAAATAATAACTAAAAGAGAACAGCTGTGGGTATACTAGTATCAGACCAAATAGACTAAGGGCATTATATATTAATAAATGAGTGAACCCATCAAGAAGATGTAACAATTTAAAACATACACACCCAACAACAGAACCCCAAAATATATGAAGCAAAACAAAATAGAGTCAAAGGGAGAAATAGATAGGTCAATAATAATAGCTGGAAATTTTAACACCCCACTTTCAATAATGTTGAGAACATATAGACAGAAGATCAAGAAATAAAGAATTAAGCTACAATGTGAAACAATTAGACCTCAGAGACTTACAGAGCACTGCATCTAACAAGACCATACACACTCTTATCAAGTGCACACAAGACATTCTACACGATTGGCCACATGTTATATAAAAAAAAATTTTCAATAAATTAAAAGTGTGAAAAAGCATAGAGAGCTTCTTCTCTCACCAGAATGAAATAAAGCTAGAAACCTAGATATTTGACAAATTTGTGGAAATTAAACAACACACTTAACCAATAGTCAAAGAAGAAATCACAAGGGAAATCAGAAAATATCGTGAAACAAATTAAAATGAAAATACAACATACTTACATTTATAGGATGCAGTGCAAGCAGTGCTAAGGAAAATTATTGCGTAAATACGTACAGTTTAAAAGTAGGAAAGAAATCAATAACCTAACATACTACTTTAAGGAACTACAATTGCCGAGACCAGCTCAGTCGGGGAGACCCTAACCCAGCGGCGCTAGAGGAATTAAAGACACACACACAAAAATATAGAGGCGTGAAGTGGGAAATCAGGGGTCTTACAGCCTTCAGAGCTGAGAGCCCCGAACAGAGATTTACCCACATATTTATTAACAGCAAACCAGTCATTAGCATTGCTTCTGTAGATATTAAATTAACTAAAAGTATCTCTTTTGGGAAACGAAGGGATGGGCCAAATTAAAGGAATAGGTTGGGTTAGTTAACTGCAGCAGGAACATGCCCTTAAGGCATAAATCGCTCATGCTATTGTTTGTGGCTTAAGAATGCCTTTAAGCAGTTTTCCGCCCTGGGCGGGCCAGGTGTTCCTTGCCCTCATTCCCGTAATCCCACAGCCTTCCAGCTCAGGCATTAGGGCCATTATTAACATGTTACAGTGCTGCAGAGATTTTGTTTACGGCCAGTCTTGGGGCAAGTTTATGGCCAGATTTTGGGGGGCTTGCTCCCAACATACAGTAAAAGAACAAGCTAAACCCAAAGCAAGCAAGCAAGCAGAGGAAGGAAATTATAGAGATTAGAGTGGGGATAAACAAAATAATGAACAGAAAAACAATAGAATCAACAAAATCTAAAGTTGAATCTTTAAAAGACAACAAATTGGCCAGGCGTGGCAGCTCATACCTGTAATCTCAGCACTTTGGGAGGCTGAGGCAGGTGGATCACTTGAGGTCAGGAGTTCGAGACCAGCCTGGCCAAAATGGTGAAACCCCATCTCTACCAAAAAATACAAAAATTAGCTGGGCCTGGTGGCAGGTGCCCATAATCTCAGCCCACATCCAGATGGCTTTGTTGGTGAATTCTACCAAATGTTTACAGAATAATTAATACCAATTTTCTCAATTTCTTCCAAAAAATAGAAGAGGAGAGAGAATACTCTCTAACTCATTTTATGAGGCCAATATTACCCTGCTATGAAAGCCCATAAATGACATCATAACAAAACTATTGATCAATATCTCTTATGAATATAGATGCAAAAATCCTCAACAAAATATTAGCACACCAATTCCAGTAGCATATTACAAAAGTTATACACCATGACCAAGTGAAATTTGTCCCCTCCTGCCCCTGCCCTGGAATGTAGAGGTGGTTCAACATACAAAACTCAATTGAGATAATACCTAATGTTAAGAGAATCAAGGAAAAAACCCGCACGATTATCTCAGTTGATGAAGTAAAAGTATTTGACAAAATCCAACATCCTTTCATGATAAAAACACTCAATAAACTAGTACTAGAAGGGGGGGACTTCCTTAACATTATACGGGACAACTATGAAAAACCCTCAGATAACATCATACTTAATGGTGAATGACTGAAAGCTTTTCTTCTAAGATCAGGATTATGACAAGGATGCCTGCTTTCACCACATTGTACTTGAAATTCTAGCTGGAGCAACTGGGCAAGAAAAAGAAATAAATGGTATCCACACTTGGAAAGGGAATAGTAAACTGTCAGTGTTTGCAGATAACATGATCACATGAAAATCCAGGATCTTCTAGAGAATACACAAAAACATTGTATGATACAAAATCAACACACCCAAACCAATCTTATTTCTATAACCTAGCAGTGACAAATCTGAATAGAAATTAAGAAAACAGTTCATTTACACTAGCATCAAAAAGAACAAAATACATTAGAACAAATTTAGCCAAGGAGGTGCAACTTGTACAATGAGAACTATAAAGTATTGCTGAAAGACATTAAATAAATTAAACAGAAATGCCTACTATGTGTTGGATTAAAAAACTTCATATTGTTAAAATCATCACACTTTCCAAAGTAATCTATGCATTGAATACAATACCTCTAGAATCTGCCTTTTATTGCAAAAGCAAGCAAGCTGATCCTAAAATTCATATGGAATCGCAAGGGACCCTGAATAGCTGAAACAATATTGAAAAAGAAGAACAAGTAGAGGACTAAGCATTTCAAACTTAGTGTAAAGCTACAGGTGCTGGCATGAGGATAAATAGAGACCAATGGACTAGAATTATGAATCCAGAAATAAACCCATACAACTATGGCCAATTGATTTTTGACAAGGGTGCCAAGATCATTCAATGAGGGAAAGAGTAGTCATTCCAACAAATGATGCTTGGACAACTGTATATCCATATGCAAAAAAGTGGATCCTCACGCCATGTACAAAAATGAACTCAAAATTAATCCAAGATGTGTGTAAAAGTTAATGCTATAAGACTTTCAGAAGAAAACCTAGGAGTAAATCTTCATGACCTTGGATTTGGCAATGAATTCTTAGACATGACACCAAATCACAAGCAACAAAACAAAAAAATAGATAAAAATTGAACTTTATCAAAATTAAAAACTTTTGTGCACTATCAATAAAATAAAAAGACAACCCATAGAATGGAAGAAAATATTTGCAAATCATATCTGATAAGGTTCTAGTATATTTAATATATAAAGAAATTTTAGAACTCAACAAAAAGGCATCTTTATTAATAAATAGGCAAAGGATCTGAAGAGACATTTCTCCAAATAAGATATACAAATCGCCAGTACGCACATGAAAAGATACTTAATGGCATTGGTTATTGGAAAAATGCAAATCAAAATGATAATGATATACCAATTCATACACTTTAGGATGGCTATATAAAAACAAAAACAGAAAAAATTAAGTGTGGGCAAAGGTCTAGAGAAATTGGAACCCTCATACATTCCTGGTGGGAGTGTACAATAGTACAGTTACTGGGAAAAACAATTTAGCAGTTCGTCAAAAAGTTAAACATAGCATTACCATATTACTCAGCATTTCCACTCCTAGATATATACCCTAAAAATTGAAAACATATATTCATACAAAGACATACACAAATATTCATAGCAGCATTATTCATAATAGCCAAAAAAGTAGAAACAACCCAGTAATTCATTGCATTTTGTGGCTGAAAAATATCACATTGAATGAATATGCTATAATTTTTATCCATTCATCAGTAGATGAATTATCGATCCATGCTGTGACATGGTTGAACCTTGAAAACGTGCTAAGTGAAAAAAGCCAGACACAAAAGACACATATTGTATGATTCCATTTATAGTAAATATTCAAAATAGAGACAGAGCACAGATTAATGCTTACCAGGGGCTGGGGAGAAGATAGACTAGGGAGTAACTGCTTAATGAGTATGCTATCTCATTTGTGGGTGATAAAAATGTTCTGGAGTTAGACACTGATGATGACTGTACAACATTACAAATGCACTTAAAACCACTAAATTCTACACTTTAAATGATTAAAACTGTGAATTTTATGTTATGTGAATTTTACCTCAATAGAAGAATTAGCAAAATATCTGAACAGACACCTCACCAAAGGAGATATATAGATGGCAAATCAATACATATGCCCTAAACTTACAATGGGGTTACCTCTTGATAAATCTGTTGTTGAAAATACCGTGAGTAAAAAAAATGCACTTAATATACCTAACCTATTGAACATCATAGCTTAGCCCAGCCTACCTTAAATCTGCTGACAACATCTACACTAGCCTACAATTGGGAAAAATTATCTAACACAAAACCTATTTTATTATGAAGTGTTCAATATCTCATGGAATTTGTTGAATACTGTACTGAACGTGAAAAACAGAATGGCTGTATGGGAACTCCAAGTACAGTTTTCAGTGAATATGTGTCATTTTCCCACCATTGTAAAGTTGAAAATTATAAGGCAAACCATCCTAAGTTGGGGACCATCTGTATATGGAAAGATGCCCAACATCATTTATCATTGCAAATTAAAAGAAATGAGATACCACTATGCACTTACTAGAATGGCTAAATTTTAAAAAAATTACAATACTAACCGATGGCAAGGATGCAGAGCAAGAGGAATTCTCACTCATTGCTGGTAGGAATGCAAAATAATGCAGCCACTTTGGAAGAAAATTGGGCAGTTTCTTACAAAGCTAAACATAGTCTTTCCATGTGATGCTGCAATCTTGCACTTAGGTATTTACCAAACTGATCTGAAAATTATGTTCACACAAAAACCTGCAATGTTTATAGCAGGTTTATCCATAATTGTCAAAAACTGCAAGTAATTAATATGTCATTGAATAGGGGAGTGCATAGACAAACTGTATATCCATAAAATGAAATACTCTTCAGCTATAAAAAGGAATGAGCTATCAACCCCCACAAAATGGGTGAATTTTAAATGCATGTTGCTAAGAAAAAGAAAAGCTAGTCTGAAAAAGGCAACATACTGTATAATTCAATCTGTATGACATTTTGGAAAGGGAAACCTATAGAGATGGTTAACAGATCAGTGGTTGCCAGAAGTTTTTGGAGTGGGGAGGGCTGAATTGGTGAAAGACAGGGGATCTTTTAATGTGGTGATGATTATGCATGGCATTATAATAGTGGATACATGACATTATGTATAGGTTAAAACCCACTCATAGAACTTTACAGCATAAACAGTGAACCTTAGTTTAGCAATTAAAAAAATCATTTTTGTGGTTGGGATCTTAGGATAGAATGCAGGCTGTGAGAAAAAAATAAACTATATTTTAGGGAATGGGGAGGGAGGAGATACTAACCTCGCTTTGGAATGAGTGGAGACTAAGACTGACAGCAAAAGAACTGTACCTGAGCATCACACTCTACTTGGTAAAGTAATTTCTCATGCTGGACTGAGTTAACATTTCTGAAGTCACTATAAATGTATACTGGAATTATGTAAATGAATGATGGATGGGAACAAAGATTTCTGATTGTTGGAGTGGAAGGTTACAGACAGCAGGGAGGCAAAGGCTGAAATGATCCACGTGGTCAAGGATTAATCTGTATAAACTCATATTTAGCTTAACATCCATACAGATTGATACATACGGAACTATTTATAAATATGTGTATATAAGTGGGTTAGTACACACACATATTTTCCCTTGCTCTGTCAGCTAAGAGGGCCCAGAAGCAATTACACCCCACAAGAAATTAACACACCCAGCACCCAGATCTTGGCTTCTAAGACTGTTCCATGAAGGAACCAGCTCCTTAGTGAAATAGATTATTCTAGAGCTGGATCTGGGACTATATAGGATGATCCTGTAGCATCCTGTAATGCCAGAAGGCAAGGAAGTGCTTATTGAAATAAAAACCACACAATGGGGTATATCAAAGGGACACTGGGGCCAACTGAAAGAGCTCCCAATGGCCAAAACTGGAACAATATGAGTCATGAAATAACATAGTACTGGATTCTAACCCAAACTATAAAATAAATATCTATGAGGCCATATCGTTATAAAGAAATGATTGAATAAAATGAGGGAGAATATACAAATTTTTTGTGCAGGCTCATTGCAAATAATTTATGTAAATACTCTGCTGTCAAGGAGGCAAAGCATAACTTCCCACCTCTGAAGTGTGGGCTGTACATAATTACTTCCTTTTTTTTTTTCTTTTTTTGAGATGGAATCTCACTCTGTCGCCCAGCCTGGAGTGCAGTGGCGGGATCTTGGCTCATTGTAACCTCCACCTCCCGGAGTCAAGCGATTCTCCTGCCTCAGCCTCCTGAGTAGCTGGGATTAACTATGCCAGCTAAATTTTGTATTTTTCATACAGACGGGGTTTCACCATGTTGGCAAAGGTGGTCTCGAACTCATGACCTCAGGTGATCCACCCGCTTCAGCCTCTCAAAGTGCTGGGATTACAGGCGCGAGCCACCATGTCTGGCCTGTGCATAGTTACTTCCTTTACAAAAATACAGTATGAAAAAGGGGAAAAGCGAGTAATCTCACAACGGGGAAACCTGACAAACATTACCTCAGAGAGGTGATCAAGGTCAACACCAACAGTGATAATAATCATGTTCATAAATACATACCCTTGATATGGTGTAATGAGAATCGTACTTTACTTTCATGGTCTTTCTCCCCCAAACTCATAAATCCCTGTCCAGTCATGAGAAAAACCCCAAGGGACATTCTACAAAATACCTCACTGGTCCTCCTCAAACTGTGAAGATTGTTCAAAAGAAGCAAAGTCTGAGAAACTGTCATTGTTTAGAGGAGACTAAGGAAACAAGATGACTAAATGTGGGATGGTGCTGGGCACAGTGGCTCATTCCTGTAGTCCCAGTGCCTAGGAAGGCTAAGGTGGGAGGATCGCTTGAGGCCATGAGTTTGAGACCAGCCTGGGCAACATAGTGAGGCCCCTGTCTCTAAAATAAATAAATAAATAAATGTATTGTGTTTTTTTTGTTTTTTGTTTTTTTTTGAGATGGAGTCTTGCTTTGTCACCCAGGCTGGAGTGCAGTGGCGTGATCTCGTCTCACTGCAAGCTCCGCCTCCTGGGTTTACGCCATTCTCCTGCCTCAGCCTCCTGAGTAGCTGGTACTACAGGTGCCCGCCACCACGCCCGGCTAATTTTTTGTATTTTTTTTTTTAGTAGAGATGGGGTTTCACCGTGTTAGCCAGGACGGTCTCGATCTCCTGACCTCATGATCCGCTCACCTCGGCCTCCCATAGTGCTGGGATTACAGGCATGAGCCACCGCGTCTGGCGAATGAATGTAATATTATATCCTGGAATTAAAAAAGGACATTAGGTAAAAACTAAGGGAATCAGGATGAAGTATGGACTTTCATTAATAATAATGTATCAATATTGGTTCATTAGTTGTGACAAACGTATCATACAAATGTAAGATGTTAACAAAAGGGGAATCTCTGTAGGGGGCATGGGGAAACTCTGTGCTATTTTTGCAACTATTCTGTAAGTCTGAAACTCTTCTAAAGCAAAAAAGTTTTTATTTAAGAAAGCTATTGAGTTTACTTACCACATAAGGATGCATTCACAGGTGATGCGGGCAGATGAGATCTTCCAGCTGTCTCTTTGTGGACCTAGGCATTAGTAGCTCACGTGTGATAGTGCCCAGAAGAGGCTCCACAGTGGTGAGTGCTCTGGGAGCCCTGCTCTCAGCAGCTATGGTAGACTTTATTAGCAATAATTTACCAGACACAAACAGGAAGCAACTGTGACCTTAGACATGTTCACAATGGCATCCATGTGACTTCTGGGTATAGCTGGTCAGTTCTCCTTTGCTTTCTCTCTAGCCATATCTCCTAATACTCTTCCCTTGATCACTCCACTCCAGCCATACTAGATTTCTTTCAGTTCCTCATAGCTGTCATATCATTTCTCATCTTGGGTCTCTTCCTCTGTCTTTTTCTTTTCCTTCCCTCTGATTTCCTTCCTCTCTTCTTTTCCCACTCTCCTCCCTCTCTCTTCTCTTGCTCTCTCATCTGTCTCTCCCTCTTTCACTTCCTCCTGTGGCCTACCTGCCTTTCTGACAATTACTCATATTGGCAGAATAATATAGGTGAGGTAGTAGGAATGCAGTAGGGTAAGAAGGCAAGGGATGAGTGAGAGCAGACCTGCTACCTCTTTTAGTTAGGATTGCAGTGTGTAGCAAATAAAAATATAAAACCCGTAGCCAAATTTGCATTTCAGAGAAACAATGAATCATTTCTTAGTACAAGTATAACCCGAATATTGCAAATTATACAGGGATACCTCATTTAATTGCATTTCATCTTATTGCACTTTGTAGTTATTATATATATATTTGCAAAGTGAAATTTTGTGGTAACCCTGCATCGAGCAAGTCTATTGGTGCCATTTACCAACAGCATGTGCTCACTTTGTGTCTCTGTGTCTCATTGTGGTAATTCTTGCAATATTTTCAACTTTTTAATTATTATTATGTCTATTATGGTAATCTGTGATTAGTCATCTTTGATATTACTATTGTAATTGTTTTGACGTGCTACAAACGATGCCTATATAAAAGGGAAATTAAGTGATGAATATTGTGGGGGTTCTGACTTCTCTACTGACCCGCTGTTCCCTCATCTCTCTCCTTCTGAGACCTCTCTGTTACCTGAGACACACTGTTGAAATTAGGCCAATTAATATCACTACGATGGCATTTCTAAGTATTCAAGTGAAAGGAAGACTCACATGTCTCTTGCTTTAAATGAAAAACCAGAAATGATGAAGCTTAGTGAGGAAAGCATGTCAAAAACCAAGAGCCAACCTTTTCCATCCACTATTGCCTACCCAATGACATCACTCTAGCAACTTTCCTCCTCCTTCTCCCACACTGATAATTTCTTTCTCTCTCTTCTGTATGTTTCTCATGTTTCTAATATAAGCATGACATTATTTCTCCAATCGTGAAAACAAACAACCAAACCAAATCAAACAGAAGTTTCTCTCCTCTCCTTCACTCTTGAACCCTCTCTAATCAGCCTTTCACCTTCACCATGCCACTAAAGCTGCCCTTATTGGGGTCATAAAAAGCCTTATGGAGGTTTAATTGACTCACGGTTCTGCAGGCTGTACAGGAAGCATGGAAGCATCTGCTTCTGGGGAGGCCTCAGGGAGCTTTTACCCAGGGCGGAAGGCAAAACGGGAGCAGGCACTTCACATGGCAAAAGCAGGAGCCAGCAAATGAGGGGGGAAGATACTAAACACTTTTAAATGACAAGATCTCAAGAGAGGTCACTCACTATCACAACGACAGTACCAAGGGGGAAATCCACCCTTATAATTGAGTCATCTCCCAAGAGGCCCTACCTCTAACATTGTGGATGACATTTCGACATGAGATTTGGGTGGAGACAACATCCAAACTATATTAAACCTCCTAACTGAACTCTCTGCTTTCACATTCCGCCCCGCACCCACGCCCAGCCTAGACTCAGCACAGCAGAGTGACGCTATTAACCTACAAGTTGAATTGTGTTATTTCCGTATTCAAAACCCTGCAATAGCTCCCTATTACCCTCAAAGTAAAAGCCAAAAATCTTATAATGGCCCAAAAGGCTCTACACGAACTCCCACCCCGATTTGCCTTCTGACGTCATCTCACAATACTCTCTCCTTTTTTTCTGAGGGTCCAGCCACATGGCCCCGCTGCTGTTTCTTGAATATGCCAGGCATATTCACTTGCCTGGAATGCTTTCCCGTGGATATTTTCAGGGGAAATAGATACCGCATTCACTCAAAGTGAAAAAGCAAAATAAATGCTTATTTTCCCCCTTTATTCACAAGTTTTCAGAATAATGAGCTGGTGCCATAGTAGCTTCCAAAAAATGTGAAGTGAATTTTTTAAAAATAAGAGAATTAAAATACACCCTTGATTTTTAATACATTTTATGTGTTTAAACTATGGTAGCCATTATTGTTTTTGATGCTGAGATTGTCATTTTTGGCCAGTATGAGCCCTCTCAAATGCTATTCTAAATCCTTTTGACATGACTTTTGATGGATTTTTTTTTGTGTTCCCAATTTGAAATTTGAATTAAAACCTATCTGCTATCTTTGTCCTATAACATGGACTATGAAATCAGAGCTCTCTGAATTTAATTCCAGTTTTTACAGTATCAACCCGTGAAACTCTGAGAAAGTTATTTAACTTCTTAGAGTTCAGGGTTCTAATTTATACAGTGAGAATGATAATACTTATTCAGTGGATGATATTGTTTGGTTGTGTCTCCACCCAAAATCTAACCTTGAATTGTAATCCCCGTAATCTCCACAATCCCTATGTATCAAGGGCAGGACCAGGTGGAGGTAATTGGATCATGGGGGAGGTTTCCCCCATGTTGTTCTCATGACAGTGCATGAGTCTCATGAGATCTGATGGATTTATAAGCATCTGGCATTTCCCCTGCTTCCCCTGCTCACTTTGTCCTGACACCCTGTGAAAAAGGTCCTTGCTTCTCCTTTTCTTTCCACCATGACTGTAAGTTTCCTGAGGCCTCCCCAGCAATGTGGAGCTGTGAGTCAATTATACCTGTTTACTTTATAAATTACCCAGTCTCAGGTATTTCTTCATAGCAGTGTGAGAACAGACTAATATAGTGGAGTTCTTCGAGAATTAAATGAGATGCAGTATATAGGGCACCAGGTGCAGAATTGATACTTGAAAATTGTAGTGTTTATTATTAAAATTGGAGTCAAAACCTTGTTATCATGCAAAAGTAGCCAGTTGCTTCATTGTTACACTTTAGAAGACGATGTTGTTAGAAGCATAAATCTAATAATAATTTATATTTATTGTGTGCTTATGTGCAAAATGCCATGTTAAACATTATTGTTGTACTTCAGTTAGTCCTCTAAACAATCCTATAAGGCAGCATTAATATTAATATATATGTTTACTTACATGTGACATGTGAATACAATTTAATTCATTATAATATTATTCCTATATTATAAATTATGAGTCTGTGGCTTAGAGAGGTTAACTCATTCATTCGAGTAAACTAGGAAGTGGCAGAATTCAGAATAAAACCCTCTGACCCCAAAGTTTGAACACTTAACACTTCTGCTATTATTTATTTTCTCTGTTTAGGTGTGTTATATTGTTTTGAAATAATAGCCTGGATAAAATGCTCTTCTAAGAACTCTCAAATTCCTATAGATTATCTTGGCAATTATCATTTATTTACTTTATCTGACTGCTTTTTTTCCCAAAGACAATACTGCATTTTAAGCAATAGCCACCAACTGGAGCCAGAAACCAAGAACTTCATTGACAGCTTCTTGCAGGGAAGGAGAATTTATGTGAATAATTTAATGCAGGGAGAGGCAAAGACAGAAAGAACAAGAAGAGTGGCCCAGTCTTCTCTATTTTAAACCTTTATTCATATATCTTTCCTATTTTTAAATTTTTCTCTCTTTACTTTTTTCAGTGTGTTATTTCTGTTCATACAGTTAAAATGTTTAAGTTTTCATGTTAAGAATTTCCTCTGAAAATAATGGTTTTAAAAGCCATTTGCAGCCTTTTACATCGGATGGAGTTTAGGTGTTCTGAAAGTCTTAATCACATCCTGGTCATTGCTCTTAGTATAGCATTGGATATGCTATGGACATTGTTGTTTCTTTATGGCTAAAAATCTCAGAAAGTCTTCGTGTTTTATAGACTTCAATATAACATCATTTAAAAAATATTTTAGGAGAGTAAGTCCTATAGAAGGACATTGATGAGCTAATTGTTGTGTGAGAAATTTGACAGTGTTAAGAGAAAAACATACAAAAATCTTAGGAACTTATCCCAAATTTACGCTATGCAACTATTTTATAACAATGGATTGTTATTAAAAAATCCCATCTATGTCTGTTACAAAGATCTAAGCTGCTGTTAAAGCACCCTTGATCTTGAGCTTGTGACCTCAAGTGGTCCTTCCACCTTGGCCTCCCAAAATGCTGGGATTACAGGTGGTGAGCCACCACTGCTGGCCAGACCACTCTTGTAGAAAATCTGTCTATGCTAAAACAAAAATGTGAAAGATAAAAATCAATTATAGTTTCCATTGAGGTTCACTTCGCTGAAGTCTTAAACTCAAAGTTTAATTTGGACCTCATAATTGCTAAGACGTTTACAAACTGAGAATGAGCTCTGAGTAGTGGAAATACTACCCCATATCAACTTCAAGCAGTATCATGAAGTTATTTTCATTTTGCAATGTACTTTCTTTAAAAAAAATAGCTTCAAGGTTTTCCCCTTTCCTGCAGTGAAAATATTTTCTCATATAACTTCTCAAAGCTGAAATAATAGAATATCTTCTGACATAATTTTATACGAACACTTATGGAGCCTTATTGTCTTTGGAAAATTATGATGATTTTCTCCCTTTAATAACTCTGATCATGCCAGTAAATGTTAATCCAATGGAAAAGTATGGCAAGGAGCCCAGAGGTGTCTGGGCAGAAGCTTTATTACTTCGGGGGGATTAGGAAGAGACTTATTGAATTAGAGAGCTCCCCAGCCATTTCTACCTATGATTTTGCATAATGATGCCCATCAATCTCAAACTACTTCTCTTTGCTCCCTGTCCATAATCTGTCAGGTGCTAAATTGTATGTTTAAAGATGCTAGTGGAAAGCAAAAGTAAATCTACCTGCAAGATCCTCTGGGTTACGAGTGATGCCAGCTGGCAAAGTCTCATTACCCTTGGAAGTGTTCTGATGTCTCACAGACACAGGCTCTTTGTGTCTCATGACTACATTCTGTGTATGGCTTCAGCTTCCTTTTCTCTACTTCTTTGATCACAGCCTGTCTGCTCCCCTCTGCCATTGTCCCAGCATTCTACCACTAACCAGTTCTTCCTCTTCCTGGACACTCTTTAAGCTCTCAACACTTATGCCTCACCACTGGTATCCCTACCTTAGAATTCTCCTCTCATTCAGTTCTTCCCACCCATTGATGCCATTCTCTAGAATGTGCTGCTTTTATCTTGGCACCAACTTTGAAGGCTCCCCAAGGACTAATGGATTAAATACAAGATCTTCAGTTAGGGCCTTCACAATGTAAACTCATTCTCTATGAGGCTCCAGAATGAATTCTTTACTTCATCCAATCAGGTCCCCTCAAAGTCTGTGATGAATTCAAGGGCACGCGTCTTACAGGGAAAAGGTTAGCAAATTTTTTCTATCAAGGGCCAGAGAGAAAATCTTTTGGGTTTTGTAGATCCTGTGGTCTCCGCTGCAGCTATTCAGTTCTGACACTGTGATACTAAAGCATCTGTAGACAATGTATAAACAAATCAGTTTGGCTGTGTCCCAGTAAAACCTTATTTATGGACTTGGACATTTCAATTTCATATAATTTTCATGCATCATGAAGTTTTATTCTTCTTTTGATTTTCTTCAATGACTTAAAATTGTAAATAGCAGTCTTAGCTCACGGACCATACAAAAATGGGAGGCAGGCTGGGTTTGACCCACAGGCCACACTTTGCCACTCTCTGTTCTAGGAGATCACTGGTCATGAGCTTTTGACTTGCTGTTGACTTGCCCTGACTTGCCACAGGGTGGCAAGAGCAGGCCCTCCTCTTCCCGTGATGGCATCCTTTGTCATGTGAGGTGCAGATCTGCCCAGCATCTGAGTCTCTAATTACCTACTTAGAAGAAGTTCCCCCGACTAACCCCACGGCCACGAGAAGGTGGAATACCATTCCCTGTGGCTGGAGCACTGGGCAAGGAGCAGATGGGGCCCTTTGGAGAAAAGGCAAGTCCAAGCTATTAACAACATGCATGACCTCCTCCTCCCACTAAGTCCCACTGGAGTCCTTCTGGGAACTAAAACCTCACAGCTAAATAGTCTCCTTTTAGTATTAGGTGGAGGCACCTGACCTGCAGATAAAGGTCACTGACACACACATTCCCTGGCAAGTCTTCAGATAGTGTTGGTAGTCGTGTCATTTGATAGGGACTCTGAACCTGCAGCTTAATGCTTCTATGGAGCCAGAGAGGTTTCCTGTCTGTCCACTGCTAAAGGGAGGCACTATTCACCTTCAGCTTCCTCCGTAAATTCCAGACCTAGAAGACAGCCCTCTGTGCCTTGCCTGAAAACCAGATACAAACACTTCTAAATCAGGAAGATTGGCGTGTCTCCAAGTTGCCTGAGAATTTCTTCAGGAGTGCTAGCAGGGGAAGGGACAATGTTGGAGGTGATGGGAAGAGAGTGTGCTGAGTTCGCCTTTTCAATTTTATCTTTTCTCCTGCAGTTGGATTGTTACCAATGAGACCTGGGAGGAAGCCAGGAGGCAAAGGCCCGGAACTCAGTGCTGAAGTTGCATGGCTGTCAATGGCCACTAGAGGATGCCAGAGCCCGAGATTGGGGAGCCCAAAAAGGCACCATCTCCTCCAACCGCCTGGAGAATTACTGGCAGCTAAGAAGTGAAAGCAATAGACAGGGTGGCAATAGACCATAAGGAAGTACTGTTCTGCCTGACCATGTGGAGGGGGACAAGCAGGATCTCAAAGTATCCAGAGCCTTAAGGCACAATGGACCAAGTAACTTCTTACTTTATCTAAGGGCAATGACTGAGGCAGGTAACTCATGGATCCGGGCTAGGAGTGAGAAGTGCTTTATGACTGCAGTGAAACACACAAATAAACTCCCTACCTCCATGAATTCTACATTAAAATCATTAAATAAATAACAGGAAGTGCTGGAGAGTAAAATAAAGAATAAGAAGTGGGGTAGGGTGTAGGGGCTTGAACAGTAGCCAAGACCATGTTCAGATGACAGCAGGTCAGAAAACAAAGGAAGGTAAAAAAAATGCTCCTTCTCAGCCCGCAGTGAAGAGCAGTGAGCTTAGCCACAGAGGTCTTGCCCACTGTGCTGTCTGCTTCTCCCAATGATAACCACCCCAATCTGCTTTTAGGAATTCTTCAAAGTAAAGAAAGTATGTGGAATCCAGAGGAAGATGGTCATTTGTTTAGGAAAACAAAATTATAAAATTGGTCTTGTTCCGGGTGCGGTGGCTCACGCCTGTAATCCTAGAACTTTGGGAGGCTGAGGTGGGTGGATCATGAGGTCAGAAGATCGAGATCATCCTGGCCAACATGGCGAAACCCCAGCCCTACTAAAAATACAAAAATTGGCTGGGTGTGGTGGTGCGCACCTGCAACCCCAGCTACTCGGGAGGCTGAGGCAGGAGAATCGCTTGAACCCAGGAGGCAGAGGCTGTAGTGAGTGGAGATCACACCACTGCACTCCAGCCTGGTGACAGAGAGAGACTCCGCCTCAAAAAAAAATTGGTCTTGTACCCTGGAAACTAGCATAAATTGTAAAAGGTTAATTACAATCAGTAATTAAAATCCAAGAAAATTTAAGTCAACATGGGTGAATTGGTTGAGTGCAGAGGGCAGTAAAATGTTGTTATGATTCTTAAGATTGTTTAGTGGATACAGATTCTGACTCATGCTAGACATTGTTAGAGCTGATCTTAAAAATATGAATGTTAAAATAATAAGGGAAACCACTAACAACAGGAATACACTGTATAATTTTTCAGCTGTTTGAGAAAAACACTAGTCCTAAAGGACTCGTGGGAAGGATGATGGCCCCCACCTCATTGGAGCCCAGGACTGAAGGAAGTGTCGAAAGCAGCCAGCTGATATCAAGGGATCAACAGTGGGACATTTCCACTGTGGGTATCTCTGAGAAACCCACAGCATTGAAGAGTCAGCTTGGAACATCTAGATCGCGATACTACCAGTAGACAATACCAAGTCCCTTTTCTACAGACCTAGCCCTGAAGCAAGAAAGTGAGCAAATGAGGGAGAAGTTGACCACGTCTCTATGACCTATTGCAGACTTTCATGACTAGAGCTGACCCAAGCCTGCAGAAGGAAAAAACTAAGTAAGATGGAGTTTGGAGTTCTCATTATCACACTGGATTGGGTCTCTAAATGTCAAAAACAAAAAGACAGTTTATGTGTTACCTACAAGTGATCTAAAGAACTGTGAGACTTGTCCAAGATTTCACCCAAGGGCAAGGAATGGTCTGTTTGATGGAGCAAGTTCACTGAGGAGTGGTGACATAGTATAAATGTGTTTTATAATTGTATTCTACTAAGCTCAGCCCATTCAGTATAATTGTTGCATTAAAATCAGATGAATTTTGAAACAAGATGAAAGTATTAAATAACACCAAGAGGGATTTTTACATTAATGAACTAATGACCTTTATAACAATGTTACTCCTTCCTTTGTCCTTCCCTGCTAGCTCTCCTTCAGTCCACTAAGGAGATTTTCCTTTCTCTCGCCTCCTTGAGCTTCCTATTTGCCTCATACTCTACTCATTCTACCAACATAATATGAACTCCACCTCCCCTTGTCTCTCTTGTGGTCAGAAGCCCTTCTCTCCCTACATGTCCTTTACCCATAAGAATTAAAGGGTGGCTTCATCAATGCGCTGCTGTGTGGCCTTGAGGAAGTTACCTACCTTCACTGGATTTCAACTGATCATCTGTTAAGTGCAGAGAAAATTTTCCCCTTTGAAGATTAGATAAAATAATGCTTGTAAATTGAGTAAACTGGCATATGGCACATAATAATAAATGGTATTAACAGTTATCAGTGAAACAAGATTAGTGGTAAGAGAAATCTACCAAAATATTTCATTTTCTTTCAAGAGCAGAAAATGAGCCTTCTCTGTAATATGTGCATTTTTAATCTAGCATATAGAAAAGTTTAGAATACATTGCCTGATGATGATGATTATAATGACAATGAAATGGTAACAACAGCAGTAATTATTATGACAAAAAGATACCCCACAGTTGTAAGAACCAAATGCAAATGTCTCAGCAAAAATACCAGTGTGGATTATGGGACCTAGTAGGTTATTACTAGGAATTGACAGTAACAGGAAGATTATGCTGAGATACTGTAATTGGAGATGTGAGTGGCTCAAGTCCAGCATAAATTCCATGCTGTCTCCAGAGGAAAACCAAACACATAAGTAGTGGTGCCCATTAGAGAACATATATATATGTTTTGTTTTTGTTTTTGTTTTTATTTTTATTTTCTTGCTCAGTCCCAGGCTGGAGTGCAATGGTGCAATCTTGGCTCACTACAACCTCCGCCTCCTAGGTTCAAGCCATTCTCCTGCCTCAGCCTCCTGAGTAGCTGGGATTACAGGCGTGTGCCATCATGCCGGGCTAATTTTTGTATTTTTAGTAGAGATGGGGTTTCACCATGTTGGCCAGAATGGTCTTGAACTCCTGACCTCAAGTGATCCGCCCGCCTCAGCCTCCCAAATTGCTGGGATTACAGGTGTGAGCCACTGTGCCCAGCCCATTAGAGAATATTTGATAAATATTTGGTGTGTAACATTCAGATAAACACTGCAGACCACTTTCAGTCTTTTCAGCTGTTCTTGTACATAGAGTAGTATAACATCATATTTAAACATGAAGGACAGCAATAAAACTGTTTAACTTCAGCACCACCACATAATGTCAGAAACATTAAAAGAAGATGCAAATGTCTAAAGCTATAGGAATTGTAATTTGGAGTAAGCAATGGGTTCTATGAAAAAAATTGCTCTGACAAAACCAATTGCAGTTTTGATAGAATTATAAAATCACTCGTTTGTGGGAAGGCAGTTATATTTGAACATTATCAAATCCTTTGCCAATTATTCATGCAATTTTAAATAATTCAGATTAGACTTAAACATGAGCAATCACTAAATGAAACGATTCAATGAAAACTGGCTCAGGATCTATAGATAAAGAGGGCACAGTAAAAACAATATGTGAAGCTGGAATTGGGGCTTGAGTGGGATTGCTCTTTCCAGGCTTAATATCTTTATTAACAGAGCAGGTGATGGAATAGCAGTGTGAAATGTTGCATTAGGTCTTTTCAGGTGAGTCTTTAAATATAAGAAAAAAGAACAATGGGAATAAAAACCCAGAGAAGTAAAAAATTACAGCAGGAAATTAAAAGCTGCCTTTTAGATTGTAAAATTCAGTCTAAATTATGTGGTGCAAAGTATCCCGAGTTCCTGAATAAATTCATAGAGTTTATTTAGAATATCTGGTGATGCCTAAAAGGCCATTGGGTAACAGCAGGCAGGAAATTTAAAATAAATTCATGATAACAGTGTCTCTTTGCATTCTAGACTTCTCACCAAAAAGAGTTCAAGTTGAGCTCTGTATACTTTGTAAAATGGTGAAAACTGGGAACTAGAAGTTCAAATGTTAACTGAAAGACAATAGGATTACAATGGCTGTGTATAGGTTAATTGGGGAAAGTACATTTAGCTTTCCAAAAGGCTACGCTATCTTCCTATTTATTTTGATAGCAATTTAAAAATAGATATGAGAGATACTGAATTAAAATAGAATACTGGAACATTTTGGGGAAATATAGAAAAATAAAGTACAATAAATGCCAGATCTATATTGCTAAAGAGCCTGCTGAGGTATCTGTTTCTATAAACTTTAGACATAATTCACTATCGACAAAGTTGAGAGAATGTAACTTGGAAATGGAATAAACTTGCAAACAGAGAAATATCATTTATCAAAATTGTCATCAATTAGATTAGAGTTTTTGAACTGGAAAAGACCTTAGAGATCTGCATTTTATAGAGGAGTAAACTGAAACTCAGAGTGATTTAGTAACTTGCTGAGAATGACATAGCCATTCTGAAGCCGACATTATCTCCTGCTCCTGTGCTCATCCTGCTCAGCCATGACTGGTCACTGGGTGAATGATGATATAATTGCCATGGCTAATTTCTCTCCTTGTTGAAAAACTGGCTAAGAGCTTAGATTCTGCAGTCAAGCTATTTGGGTTCAAATCCTGGCTCTACTGTTTTCTAGTATGGTAACCTTAGCCTCTCTCTCTTTCCTAATCTTTATAATGGGGATAATAATAACACTTGCTTCTTAGTATCGACGAAAGGATTAAATTAGTTAATGTGTGTAAAATGTTAGAAGTCCAGATTTTATGCTGCTAAATTTCATATAAAACATCACAGAGATTTTTGAAATGCTTTCATGGAATTTATGAAACAAGGAAGAATTCATCCCAAATGTAATAGGAAGATCTACTCTTAGAGGTTTTCCTCATATTTTGGTTGAGAGAGGATCCAAAGTTATTTCTGGAAAACTGTATATTTTCTTTGTAGTTTGTAGTGAAACACCAATGAAGGTACTCTGTAATCATCATTGCCCAAGTCAGGTGCATTCTATAGTCAGGCCTTCACATCACATGGAGGATTGGATATATATACATATACATATATGTGTATATATATATGAATATACATGTACATGTGTATACATATATGTATATGAATATACATGTATACATATACAAATAACTTTTAAAAAATATTATTTCAGTTATTCATCCTTGTGACTTAGGAAAAAGCAAGAGCTAGAAGGAATCCTTTACTTAGATGATGATTGAGAACATACTTGAGTACAAAACAGCACTTAACTGAGAAAACTCAAACTTCTTATTTCCTTAGGTGTCTAATGTGTTTCAACCATTTTGCATGTTTTCTTAGGAAAGGAAAGCTAGTAATTGCATTAAAAATGTTTTATTATGGAGGATTTGATGCTATAGAATAATTGATATTGTATCAATTGTATTAGTCTGTTCTTGCACTGCTATAAAGAAATACCCGAGACAGGGTAATTTATAAAGAAAAAAGGTCCAATTGGCTCACACTTCTGCAGGCTGTACTAGAAGCATAGTGACATCTGCTTCTGGGGAGGCCTCAGGGACCTTTTACTAATGGCAAAGGCAAAGTGGGAGAAGGCTTCTTAGATGGCAGGAGCAAGACCAAGAGAGAGAGGAGGCAGGTGCTACACACTTTTGAATGACCAGATCTCATGAGAGATCTCACTTTCATGGGAACAGCACCAAGGGGGAAATCTGCCCCAATTCCCCATTTCCCCTCTGCATGCCCTAGTAGAGATTCTCCATGAGGGCTCTGCCCCTGCAGCAGACTTCTACATGGACATCCAGGCTTTTCCCTACATCCTCTGAAATCTACTCAGAGGCTCCCAAGCCGCAACTGTTGCACTCTGCACACCCACTGGTGTAACACTGCATGGAAGCTGCCAAGGCTTATGGCTTGCACCCTCTGAAGCAGTGACCCTAGCTGTACCTGTACCCCTTGGAGCCAAAGCTGGAGCTGGAGGAGCTGGGATGCAGGGAGCAGTGTCCCAAGGTTGCACAGGGCAGCAGGGCCCTGGATGTGGCCCACGAAATCATTCTTCCCTCGTAGGGCTCTGGGCTTGTAATGGAAGGGGCTGCTATGAAGGTCTCTGAAATGCCTCTGAGGCATTTTCCCCATTGTCTTTGCTATTAGCATTTGGCTCCCTTTTACTCGTGCAAATTTCTGTAGCCTGCTTGAATTCCTCCCCTGAAAATGGGTTTTCTTTTCTACCACATGGCCAGGCTGCAAATTTTTAAAACTTTTATGCTCTGCTTCTCCTTTAAATATAAGTTTCAGTTTTATGTCATTTCTTTCCTCATGCATATGAGCATAGGCTGTTAAAAGCAGCCAGGCCACATCTTGAACACTTTGCTGCTTAGAAATTTCTTCCACCAGATACCCTAAACCATCACTCTCAAGTTCAAAATTCCACAGAACCCTATGGTAGGGGCACAATGCTCTCAGGTTCTTTGCTAATGCATAACAAAAGTGACCTTTGCTGCAGTTCTCCGTAAGTTCTTCATCTCCATCTGAGACCTCATCAGCCTTGACTTTATTGTCCTTATCACTATCAGCATTTTGGTTACAACAATTTAACAAGTCTCTGGGAAGTTCCAAATTTTCTCTCATCTTCTTGTCTTCTTCTGAGACCTCCACATTATTCCAACTTCTGCCAGTTACCCAATTCAAAAACTGCTTCCACATATTTAGGTATTTTTATATATGAATGCCCCACTCCTTAGTATCAATTTTCTGTATTAGTCCATTGTTGCACTGCTCTAAAGAAATACCTGAGACTGGGTAATTTATACAAAAAAGAGGTTAAATTGGCTTCCTAGTTCTGCAATCTGTACGGGAAGCATAGTGGCATCTGCTTCTGAGGAGGCCTCAGGGAAATTTTACTCATGGTGGAAGGCAAAGCAGGAGCAGGCTTCTTACATGGCGGGAGCAGGGCCAAGAGAGAAGGGGGAGGTGGTACACACTTTTAAATGACCAGATCTCATGATAACTCACTCATTTTCATGGGAACAGCACCAAGGGGGGAATCCACCCCCATGATCCAATTCAACAGGAGATTGCAATTCAACATGAGATTTGGGTGGGGACACAGATCCAAACCACATTACCACCTGAGGTGAAAAGCTTGTCAATTCATGGCCAACCTTATTTAATCTATACAGCTTCTCCAGTGGTATACTGGAGGTGGCTTGCACCAGTTGGAAAGAATGGATTGTGAGTGTCTCTTCCCAGCTCTAATTCTAGATTTCATGCTGCTAAATTTAATATAAAACATCATAGAGATTTTTGAAATGCTTTTATGGAATTTATGAAACAAGGAAGAATTTATCTCAAATGTAATAGGAAGATCTACTCTTAGAAGTCTTTTTCTGCATTATTATAGTTGGGAGAGGATCCACAGTTATTTCTGGAAAACTTTGTATATTTTCTTTGTAATTAAACACCTGTGAAGGTAGTCTATAATCATCATTGCCCAATACTGATAGCTTGAAATTTGTCGTGGTGGGTGTATTTGTACCATGGCAATCAGTAGATGATACATATAACACCAATCAGGCCCTCATTCCACTCAAGCTGGTTGTTAAGCATTTACTAGAACACCACTATGTTTCTCAGTTTTCCCTTTCACAATATTTTGAGGCAAATCCCAGAAATGATATCATATTATTTGTAAATATTTTAGTATGTAGTCACCCCACCCAAATTAACAATAAGTCTTTACTATCCAATTACCAATCATGGCTGGGTGTGGTGGCTCACACCTCTAATCCGAGCATTTTGGGAGCCTAAAGTGGAAGGATTGATCACTTGAGCTGGGAGGTTGAGAGAGCAGTGAGTAGTGATCATGCCATTGTACTCCAGCCTGGGCGGCAGAGCAAGGCCCTGTCTCAAAAAACAGACAAACCCCATCAAAAACCCAAGAACAAATTATTTATCAGTAATCAAATTTCCAACTTTCTTTCTCTGTTTGAATTAGGATATATGTAAGGCCTCTTCAGGGTAATTGGTTGATATGTTTGTTGACTCTCTTTTAACTTATAGGTTTCATCTCTTCTTTATTTTTTTACTTGCAGTTTATTAAGGAAATTAGTTTGTTTTGTGATTGTTCCCTACAGTGGTGATTTTGCTGACTATATTCCTGTGAAATACAATCAGTAAATGTTACCATGTTGTTAAACGTGTTATTCTGTTCTTTGCCTTTCCTGTAAATTCATTGTTGGATCCAGAGTCTTAATCAGACTCAAGTTCAATTTTTAGAAATTTTATTTATTTATTTATTTATTGCCAAACTGCTCTGTCCTTTAGTTAAGAGGCAGGTGATATTTGGTTATCTCTTGTTTTGCTATATTATCAGCTGTTAATAATCATTACTTAGTCTATTATTTCATTAGGAATTGCAAAATGGTGATGTTCGAATTCAAATGTATTATAGAATATTTCTATAAAGAGATAACTTCCCTCATCTTCTACTTTATAATCCAGTGGTACAGTTTATATAAGAAAAGCAGGATAAGTGGTTGAATTCTTTACTGGTTTTAAAAATAATAAGTTGGTTTCACTGGCATGTCTTAAATCAATTCAGCACTTTTTTCCTTCTTTTTCTTTTGAATATTATTATGAACTCATGAATCTAAACATATTTGATGTGTTTCAATACATTGCAGTTGTTATTCTCATTGAGCCTCAAAGTATCCCTTCTTTGGCTAGTGGGAGTCTCTTTCAGTCAGCTTCTGCATCCTTTTCACATGACTGCAGTTGTCTTTGGAGGTTTCCTCATGATCTTGTGCATTTCCTGCCTCAGACCTGGGATCAGCCATTTTTTAAAGAGCCTTGTTTCTTTTCAGTGGGGAATGGTATTTAGAGAACACAATCCAGGTGGCCTTTTAAGGGCACAGGGCTAAGAAATGGTTTCTTTTATGCTGTTTTTTAAAAAAAGATAAAATAAATTATGAGTTTAAAATGATACTTCAAATTCAAGATTACAATGTTTGTATGTAATTCTTCTTTTATCTGTATCTCCTTTTGCCTATGCCAAGAATCTTATCAATTACAGTGAGAATGATAGAGTTAAAAATATTAAAGATATCCAATAATTACTTATTTGCTCTATTATACATAATAGTCTCTGAATAACAATGCCTACATTACTGCTAACAATATGATAACTAAAAAGAATTTGACATTTTATTTTATTTTACTTTTTGCACATTTTTTGATGAGACATATTCCACTGGGGCTATACAGTCAAGTGTGTTTTAATGTTATTTGGAATTATCTTGCCATCATCTGGACACACACTTAGGTATATTTATTTCATATTATTTTAAAATATTTTATTTAAATTTTATTTCTTTTCCTAGTTAAGTGAAATACATTCTTCCAAAGTCAAATCTCTAAAACAAGGTATATCTCAAGAAGTCTACCTTATTTCCTCCCTCCCCCATATATAGCCATTTCAACAATTGTTATGGTTTATCTTTTTTTTAATAAGCACCAAAATTTGACAATCACTGGACTGTAGTTTATTCCATCACATATCTCCTGGTGAATATTTATTCATCAATAGGATGTTTCTATTTCCCTAGGCGTTTCTAAAAGATTGCTTTGTCAAATTTTTGCAGATTTGCCTATCTAAGAGTGCAAAATGGTATATCAGTAAAGTTTTCATTTGCCTCTTGTAGTTGAGAACCACTTGCATTTTTTTCTGGGCTATAGCCCGTTTTTCTATAAGGCTAATGGAAATTTTGTTCCCTATTTTTAGAAGCTCTTCATGTATCAGGGACATTAACCTTTTGTGTGATATATGTTGTAAATTTACATTTTCTCCCCATTCACCACTTTATTTTTACTTTGCTTATGGTGTCTCTTTCCAAGCAAAATATTTTTTATTTCTATTTAATAAATTTTTTCTTAAATCATTTGGTCCCATCTGGGAGTCTTATAGGGAGAGAGATGTTTTTTCCAGGATTAGTCATTGGTGAGAAAGTTTAACAATGGGAACTTTAGGAGAAAATAAATCAACACTGCTGGAGTATGGAATTTAGTGCAATGTACTTAGATGCTCGATAATCCCTGTGACTTCTTCATGATTGTTAACAGGTGTTCAATGGTGTTGGCTGGAAAAAACTTCAAGCTGGGCCCATTAAATTCTCTCTAGGATGTGTGATCTTATTCTCTTCTTGGCTTCTGAACAAGTTGGTGCATTAATGTGGTTTTTATAAAGCATTGATGCTTCACACTGTGCTTATTTGTAAAGCAATTCATGTAATAAAAATAGAGTCCTGATACATTGGAAGCCTCTGGAAATGGGGAGAGTGGATTATATTCACTCCCCTGGAGTGAGCTAATTAAGAGAATTCAATGAAAATTCTGTTACCAATTTAGATTTTCTGCTTTCATCTCCTTATATATATCTACAGGTGCATAGCAGTCATCATGTGACTCATATAGCTCCACTTGTTCTTTAACTCAGCTTCAGTGAGGTGGTTTACAATTGAGATGTTGTAATTTCCTTTTATGGAGATTATGTGCATGAACTCAGAAGGAGTAGAGACTTTATACTGGAAGTCAATTCCTATCTTTTTTTTTTATTTTGGGGGGAAGTTTCAGAAATATGGATGACTACAAGCCCTGACATAAACATTAATATCATCTTATCTTTGTTTTTTATGTTTTTCATATTTGTTGGGTATTTTCACATAAATAATCTTACAAGAACTGCATGAGGTAGATGGGGCTTTATATTCATATATCATGCATGAGAGAATTCAGAAATTTTAAATGACTTGCTCAATGGCTCACAGCTTATAAAGAAGTAAGGGCTTGTACTAAGGTCTAGCTACAGCTATAGGGTTCTTTGGTAGCTAGGCTCATCCTTTTGTTGAAGTGCAGTAGAGCAGTTTTTTTTTAATTTTAAGAAACAGGGCCTTGCTCTGTCTCCCAGGTTGGAGTGCAGCGGCACAATCATAGCTCACTGCAGCCCAGAACTCCTGCTTCAGCCTCCCTGGTAGCTAGAACTACGGGTGTGTGCCATCACACCCAGCTAATTTTTAACTTTTTTTGTAGAGATGGGGTCTCAGTATGTTTCCAGGCTGGTCTGGAACCCCTTGGCCTCAAGCAATCCTCTCTCCTTGGCCTCCCAAATTCTGAGATTACAGGTGTGAGCCACTGTGTAGTAGAGCAGTTTTATTAAAAGAAAAAGATATTGTTTGAATGTTATGATTTGTCACACTAGATTAAAGAGGAGAAAAGAGGCATATTCTATTTCGTAGTAACATAATATATAGGTTGTTTAGGGGCCAAGGGAAAACTTTTCCCCTTCACCCTCTGAAGTTTCACTGAAAAATAAACTAACAAAAGGCAACTGGATTGGAGAAAAGGCATATAAATTTATAAATGTAAATACAGGGAGAACAAAGTGGTTACTCACTCACCAACAGGGATCAGAATCTTATATATTAATACCATCCTAAGGTTATAGAAAGACAGGTAACTAGAATCCTGGCCAAACAGATTATGAGAGGGAGGAGAGGAGGAATTCTGTTGAGGGACAATAAAGGATTACTAAGGAGAATAAATGGATCTGGCAACAAAAATTAACTTGTAAATAGTTCTCTTTGGAATTGGAATGAGGCTGGCAGGCAGACATTTTCTTGGGAAAGGGTCTGTTCAGATGTGGTTATCTTCTTGGTCTTACTAACATGGAGAGGAAGAAAAAAAAGATTGTCTTTTTCGTGGGCCAGGACTTGAGGCAGATAAAGGAATTTCAGCCTGGCTTTGGTAGCATAATGGAGGAGAAGTCAGGGAGATCTTGAGGCCTCTTCTTTAGTTCAGCTTGTCAAAGCACTGTGTTTTGGGATGTTGGCTTTTGGGCCTCAATATAGTGTGAAAGAGTTGTATGATTGTAAAAGGGAATAACTATGGGTATTGTCTAGTCAACTCTTGCCCTACAGAGAGGAAACACAAGTTCTGTGATGATTAAATGGTCTTGAGCTCCTGGCCTCAAGCAATGCTCTCACCTTGGCCTCTCAAAGTGCTGAGATTACAGGTGTGAGCCACCACATCTGACCCTGTGATTGTTAAATGGTTTGTCTCAAGTCTTGTCATATGTTGTTGGTGCAGCCTGATCTCTGTTTATTGAGGAGACAGAAAAGGTGACTGTCATGGGTGTCACTGGCTGGAGCCAGCATTGCAGGCAGTAAAATAATTTACCAAGACAGTTGTAGGTAAAACAAAAAAGCAGATTTATTGGAGGGAAAGTACATTGCAAGGAAGCAATGGGCAGCACAGCAGAGAAGGGGCTTTCTGCAAAGAGGCAGGGGCTGGATTGAAGTTTTATAGGCTATTCACAGAACAAGGACGTGCTGCTGGGGCTATGTGGAGAGCAAGGTAATTGTGCCAGTGGTTTGTTTGTGATTAGCTGTCTCTTGGAATAATTGTTCTCCCCCACCTGGGACCCCTTCCTTGTTGCTGATTACTTATTAAGACTCCACATCCCCCCCACCCCCAAGTCCCAATAGAAAAACAATGACAAATCTTTGGCATTGGGGTGGAAGTTTCATCTTCCAACTACTTCCTGCTGACTGTGGGTGTAACGCTGACTCTACCTATGGTTTTTGGTCTGTCAAGAGACCCTGTGAGTCATTGTCCTGGATTGTGGGACTTAGGATATTAGATCTTGCTGGAGGGACTCATCAAACAGCGGGAGCATGTCAAGGCAAAGCTCGTGTCCAGCTGAATCCAGGGGAGATCATAAAGGTAGCAGGCATCACTGGGGAGAGACTGATCTCATTCACAGCATCACTTGAAAGAAACTGCTGAATTCTAGAAGATAAAATTTTCTTTCTTAAGTCAGTTACCAAAAAGGCAAAGGAAAACCTCTTGCAATGTGACGTTTTTCCTTATTGGAAGCCAATTTAGATAACCTGGAAGTTAAACTCAGCGAAAAAGTGTTTGAATTTAATTAGACACAGCATAAGGAACCAATTTTAGAGAGACTATTGTGTCTTAATTACATACAACATCCCTTTTATAAATTTCCTTTCACAGATTTTCTCATAACTTATGCAGACCATCAATGAATGCTTGGACTTTCCGACTTGTCCTAAACATACCTCTTTTTAAACAACCAGTCATTTTACTTTAGGAAAAGAATTTCCCACACAAGATCCTTTCTCATAGAAAATCTCTTTTTTATAACCTTCCTTACAAAAAACTACCTCTTTACCTTTATAACCCTTGAATTAGACAAAAGTCATTTTTCTTCTGTTAGGAAGTTATGGTTTGTATCACATGTTGCTGTGCAAGTCCTGTGAAAGGGGAGCAGATGAGGAGGTGATCTACATACTGTAGAAGCTATCCCTCCCCCAAGAGATTGCTCGGTTAGATTTCTTGCTAGTGTTTGTCTGAATAAGTGTGGGCTATTTTTAAACCTTTGAGGTAGGACTATCTAGGTTGAAGATATTGGCTAAAAATTTAGGTAGCTTTTCCAGGAGAAACAGGGCTAGTAGAGAGAAAGATGAATTCAGAGCTTGGGTAAATTTTAAGCATGCATCCATCTTGATAATTATATTTTTGCCCCAAAGGGATGTGGGTTATTTAGACATACCAGGGACTGGTGCAAGAATAGTAATTGATTTCTTAAGTAATATAAAGGGGTATTAATTCTTTTTCTTCTGGAGGATGGGGGTGCCATTTGCCCCCGTTACCCAACAGGATTTGGAGAACAGTTGCTCAGAGAAGATTAGTACAGTGTAGGCAGCTCTTGAACCTAAAAGGGAAATGTAAAATTTTACTTGCTGCCTCCAGAGTTGCCCTTGGATTTGTCTTGTTGATGACCATGTCCAATTTGGAAGCCAGTTGGAGCAGAGGGCCCCTTCAGCTCAAGGCCATTGGGTGTTGGGACTCTGTCCCATGGTGTCTTTGACAGTCCTGTTTCTAGTGACCAAGATTGTGACAGAGTGGGCAAGCCACATGCGGCTTTTTTCCATTTATTCCATTGGGGCAGTTTGCCTTCCAGTGGACTGATCTTCTTCACTGATGGCAGTTACCTGGAGGCGTGTCCCTAGGGCAGCCTAGAGGGGGCTGGGGATTTGTAAAACAACCAAGAATTGAGCCTGACTCTTGTCCCTGAGTTTTTCTTTCTCCTTAGCCCTGTCCTTCTTATTCTGCTTCTGGTTATAAGAGACTGAGGGGACTAATTTCAGGATTTCTTGCATAGGAACCATGCTGTATTACATGAGAAAATTAGACATTTCTTTTTGAGAGTTTGAGGGTCAAATTTATCCCAATGCTTTAAAATGCAGCCTGAGGGTGACTCTGAGGGAATGGAAGGACTTTGTCCCATGATGGGACTGATGGGAAAGAACATCCACTAGGGATATGAACCACAGTTTCTCTTGGGGGATCCTGCCAAGTGAAAAGGGTTCCACTCACATCTGCTGAGTGACTCTGAGATGCACTTTCCAAAGGGGCATCCCACCTATTGGAAAGGATCTTCTGGTGCTAGGGCCTTATGGTGGATGAACACTGGGTGAGTGACCCAAGGTCAGTCCCGGTACAAATTATCCTGGGTGGCCAGCCCAGGCACGAGTTCCTCTGGGCGTTCAATCCAAGTACGAGGGGAAGAGGTTGAGGAAAGACTCACTGTCCCAATGCTGTTTTGGATCAGCTGGCTTAAGATGTTTGGAGCAGGTGGCTGGCTGTCTTTATGGGAGAATTTAGAATAAGAAAGAGGGGGTATTAGTTCCCCCAAAACATGTGTGGGTTTGCCCTAGTCAAGCTTCTTCTGCCTATTGTGCTACACATAGGGATTGGGGACTTTTGACCAGAAAGGATAGGAAAGAGCCTTCTTTCCTTCTAAGCAAGGCTGCCAAATCTGTTCACTGCTTGGCCTTCAGCCTATCCCAGGAAGTGCCGTGACCAGTGGCCATCAGTTGCCAGAGGGATGCTAGAGTTTGTTCATGGGAAGACTGAAAAGGAAAGCAAACGCTGAACTCTCACTTGATTGGGCATCAGCAGTCAGAAGTTTTACCATGTGAACCTTCAATTTTCTCTGGGCTTGGACACTGTCCACCGAAAGGCTGGAGTTGGAGGAGAGGAAAGGGAGAGAGTAGGGGAGAAGTCCCAGAGCACTCACCATATAGGCCACCAAAATATCATGGGTGTGACTGCCTGGGGCTGGTGTCATGGGAAAAGAATTTACCAAGACAATTGTAGGTAAAGAAAGGCAGATTTATTAGAGGGAAAGTACATTGCAAAGAAGCAATGGGCAGCACAGCAGAGAAGGGGCTATCTGCAAACAGGCATGGGCTGGAGGAAAGTTTTAGAAGATAGTGCTGCTGGGGCTACATGCAGAGTGAGGTAGTTGTGCCAATGGGCTGTTTATGATTAGCTGTCTCTTGGAACAGTTTTTCTCCCCTACCTGGGACCCCTTCCTTATTGCTTACTGATCAGAACTCCACAGTGACTGCTGGAGCAACTATAGAGGTAGCAGGTGGAAAAATACATTGTTCAAGCTGCGCTGCAGGCTTATGGTTCTATATGAGAGGTATCAGGATTCTGAATGCAGAACAAAGTCCAATATAAAGGAATTGGGAAGATATGTAGTAGCTATCTATGAAGTTTTTTCATTGGTGGAAAAGTTTTTGATTTTTTATTCAACATTTATTGCACATTTACTTTATGCCTTTGGGTGCGGAGGCATCGCAGGCAAATGGGAAGTAAACTGGCCAGAGCTAGGTATGTTAGCAAAACCCCAGGCAGTAGGCTTATCTAAAAGCCAGTACTCCCACTTCTAGGGCAATAAATTACTGAGAACAGAACAGTAGAGATGGCTCAAAGTACCATCTCGGTCATGGGAACTTGGGCTCTTGGGACAAGTTGTGACTCAGGGATCATCATGGAAGCTCAGAGGTCATCAGGAGGACCTTGAATGCTGGGTCTCATAGGCAACAAAGGAGACTCAGGGACCAGGAAACATAAAAGCCAGAACATAAATTACAGCTTCCCTGTAGCAGGGATGCAGACATATGACCTGCTAACCACTAATTAGATGACTCCAAAGGAGACTTCAGTTTGGAAGTGAGCAATCATAGGGAATGAGTTCTGTGTGGCATTTACATTTTGCTGATGAGGTGGCAGCAGCAGATGCAGGGTAGAGTTTGATACCAAAGTAGCAGCAGCAGTGGTTTAAGTGAAGGTGACTCCCTGGCTTTTACTGCCTCATGGCAACAGCAACAGTGATGGTTTTTTTTTTTTTAATAAAGTACAGCCTCAAATCTATTTCTCCAACACTTCCCATACTTTAAAATTTGAGAGGTGCCAGACTATGCAATCCAAAGCAATTGGTTAATCACATATTGGATTTATCATCATAATTTGTACTGAAAGATTTCACATTTTTACATGCTCAGCTCTGGAAAGTAAAAATAGTACAAAGTTATTAGCTAATCTTCAAGGTGAGATAAAGTATCTGTGACATACAAAGTGATCCCAGTATTAGCAGTAAATGTAAACATGATTTGTTTATAATATGAATATTTGTTTGATCTGAGTGCTTCATTCATTCATTTACTGATTCCACAATTCAGGGCTTTGGGCCTGTGTTACCAAGCACTTGCTGAACATGTCATGGGCACTCTGCAAGCAGCACCTCATATCGTCAACTGTCCCACAAGTGAAGTCTTCTCCAGGCATCTCTATTTCTGCCCTTGCATCAGTTTCTCCTAGGCACCCAGGCTTGAAATATTGTAATCAAGTACCCTATTTTTAACCATTTCTTTCCTTCTTTCTTTCTTTCTTTCTTTCTTTCTTTCTTTCTTTCTTTCTTTCTTTCTTTCTTTCTTTCTTTCTCTTTCTTTCTTTCTTTTCTTTCTTCTTTCTTTCTTTCTTTCTTTCTTTCTTTCTTTCTTTCTTTCTTTCTTCTTTCTGTTCTTCTTTCTTTCTTCTTCTTCTTCCTTCCTTCCTTCTCTCCCTCTCTCCTTCCTTCCTTCTTTCTTTCTTTCTTCTTTCCGTTCTTCTTTCTTTCTTCTTCTTCTTCCTTCCTTCCTTCTCTCCCTCTCTCCTTCCTTCCTTCTTTCTTTCTTTCTCTCTTTCTTTCTTTCTCTTTCTTTCTTCTTTTTCTTCCTTGTTTACTTTGTGTTTAACTTCTTAAAAATGAAGCAATAATCTTTGCTCTTTCTTTCCACCAGACACAACAATGTCCCCCTTATCTAATTATATGCTTGCTTTATAATTCAGGGACTGAATCTTAAAACAATCCAGGCACCTACAGAATTCTCCCCACCAGGAGATTACCTGCAGCCTGCAATTAACTTACAACCCAACTGTGCCTTGGATGGCGCCAACCCATTCAGCAGATTTTGCAATAACTCAGGATAAGTCATTGGAGCAAGTTACGCAGACTGGCACATCCTCATTCCTCTTGCATTCCCCTCATACCAAGCTTCCCTTTTGAAGTCCTTGTATTCTGCCCAAAAATTGGCATGGTTTCTTTAAGGCATGAAGCATTGGCCATTTCCCCACTGCTAGCCCTGAAATAAAGTCACTTTCCTTCCACCCCACCTCATCCTTGGTGTTTGAATTTGTAAATAACAAGTAACTGAACGTGCATTTGGTTACGAGTGTTGTTGGCCCACATTGGGAGTGCTGTGCATTCTGAGCAGTCTGAGCCTGCTGGTCTGGTTTCTACTGGATGGGGCAAATTGCCACCTGTGAGCAATAGCTGCTCGTGTCTAGCTGACCCTGTAGCTGAGACTCTAGGGAGTTTCCCTGAAGCTGCTGAGATGCTTTTGTCTTGAGAAACCTCCCTTCTCTTCCTGCTGTGGTGCTGGCTGCCCCTTATGCTTCACTGGTGCCAAGAAAGTGGCAGCTGAGGTAGTTGACAGACTTCAGAATAGGGTAAGTTGGCCAGAGTGCACCTGGCTTTCTTCTGTTTCTTTAAATGCTACTTGGGGTCTGCTCTTGTCAGACTTAGCTGCTGGTAACATCATTTGGGCTTGTATGCTGTTTGTACTTATGGTGTTACCTGAGCTTTGCTGTGTTTATACTCATCTACTTGTGGAGCCATTTGAAATTGAGATGAAGTTCAAGTTGTGGACTCTGTACCCAGCTCCTTGAGTGGGGATATGTTTGAGAGCATGCCACTTGGGATTGTGACTGTGTGAGTGTGTGACATTTATGCTTGGACCCTTAATTATCTTTCTTTATTTTTCTTGCCTGCTCAATTCAGGGATCCAGCCCTGAAGGGGAACAGTTTCTACCATACCCCTGAATGGGTCATCCTTTCTAAAACCCCAAAGTACTCATAACTGAGCTATGTCTAGAAGGAGGGGCCACTGTCCCTCCACAGTATGATGAGGGAATTGGAATGATCACCCCCTCTAAGATCCAACAGGCCACCTGATTTGGACAGGGCAATGCCACAGCTGGAGCAGGGCAATTCCCACTCAGGCTAATTTCTGTGGGTGGTTTGGATGAATATGGGCAGCCTGCTGGACACTATTGGACTTACAGCCCATTTTCAACGTCTGATTTATTGAATTGGAAGAGTTTCAACCCACCTTATAGAGAGGACCCTCTGAAAATGATGGACCTCTTTGAATCTATTTTGCCACCCATCAGCCCACTTGAGCAGATGTATGGGTCCTTTTAAACATGCTCTAACTGCAGATAAAAGGAGACTAGTAATGGAAAAGGCAAATGAGGAATCTTGGTGCCTCTATGAGGGTAATCCAAATAGTACCCCTAATCCCATAGGGGCTATTCCTGGCAAAAACCCTAACTGGGATCTCAAGTGAACTAGGAGTATGGCCTGTCTGGCACATTAGCAGGCACACATCTTGGTTGGACTCAGAAGAGGACTGCTCAAACAAAAGAGTTTAAGCAAAATCCAGTCGTCCAAAAGACAAATGAAGATCCCTCTGAATTTTCAGAGTGTACTTACCAAGCCTTCCACAGATATACTGATATAAACCTGGAAGACTCTGACAATTCAAGACTAGTGAACATAACTTTCATTCAGCAGAACATCCCAGATATAAAGAGAAAGCTAGAAAAATGGGATGCTGCACTGGGAATGACTCATCCCCAGTTGGTGGATGTTACTTTCAAAGTATTCAGTGGCAGTGAAGAAAATAAACAAAAGCCTGGCACCACATGTGGCATAGGCAGGAAAGCCTCCATACTGGAGAAACCAGGCAAGCCTCTGGGTCACAACCAATGTGCCTACTGTATAGAGGAAGGCCATTGGAAAAGATAGCTGCCCAGAAGTAAAGGGGCCAGGTGGACAAAGAAAAGCAGAATCCACCCAAGAAGTCATAGGCAAATAAATGACAGGACAAAGCTGTGGCCCTGACAAAAAATAGGGATGCCTGGAGGCTCCCTTAAATCTCTTGGAACCAATTAAAATTTCCCCACAGGAGCTTCCAGTTATAAATGACAATGGGGAACAAGCTAATCCATTTCCTGGTTGACACAGGTGCTACTCACTCAGTTCTTAACACCCCAGAAGCAAAAAGCACCAAAATAACAGTACCTATAATGGGAGTTGCAGGAGGGATACAACAAAAAACTTTCTTACGACCTCTAGAGTACAAACTGGGAGACCCGGAACTAAGACACAGCTTTCTCTATATGTCAGACTGCCTAATCCCCCTGCTGGGATGGGACCTGCTATGTAAATTAAATGCTTAAGTTATTCTTCCCCTAGAGAAGCAGCAATTGTGCTTACGGGTCCTGCTGGAATAGGTGCTGTGACTACAAATGCTGCTCACTTACTCTGAGAAAGGGGAAGAAGAAGCCTTTCCTCCAGAAAACTATAAAAGAGTGCGTAATTGCATTTGGGCAAATGAGATACAGGGAAAAGCCAAAAACACACACCCAAAGCACATAGAAATAAAAGAGGGGGATAGGGTGCCTGGAGAAAGCAATATCTATTAAAAAAAAAAGAAGACTTAGAAGGAATACAACTTCTTCTACAAAAATGTTTGAAAAAGAAACTGATTCATTTTTGTAGGTCCCTACATAACCCTCCTATCCTGCTTGTGAAAAAGCTGCACTGTGATGAATTATCAGTTTGTCCAGAACTTGAGGGCCATTAATAAAATAGTATAAGATATTCATCTGACAGTGCCTAACCCATATACATTATTAACTTTTATACCCAGAAAATACAGGTGGTTTTCAGTGTTGTATCTAAGACGTCTTTTTCTGCATCCTGATTGAGGAGAGAGCCCAGCAATTATTTCCCTTTGAATGGCAGAATACAGAGACCAAAACAACCCTTGAATATTATTGGATGGTGCTGCCTTAAGAATTCAAAAATTCGCCCACTATCTCTGGGAAAATAATGGAAAAAGACTTGAGGTGCTTATAACTAGATGAAGGAATTCTGCTACAATGTATAGACGACTTAGAGCAAGCCATGATTCTGAATAATGCTTGTCCAATACTATTCTAGTCCTAAAGCATCTGACCAATGTGGATATAAGGTATCCCCACAGAAGGCCCAAACCTGCAAATGAGAAGTAACCTATCTTGGCTTTGGGTTAAGACGGGACAAATGAAGCCAATGACTGACTGAAAGCAGGCAATAGTAACCATCAAAACTCCAAATAATAGAAGGCAATTGCAAGGATTCCTAGGAATGGCTGGCTTCTGTCAAATTTGGATTTCTAATTTGGGGCTAATGGCTAAACCATTTTATGAAGCTTTAAAAAGATTGAACTCAGAGCCCCTGCCCTGGACAGATGAATGTCAACAGACATTTTATGCCAACAAAGAAAAACTGCTATCAGCCCTAGTGTTGGGATTGATGGACCCCTAGAAGTTCAAACTCTATGTCCATGAGAAACAAGGCACAGTCTGGCTGATCCAAAGGCTAGGAGATATTCCACAACCCATAGCCTATTTCTCTGGCAATTGGACCATGGAGCAAGACAAAAAGCACATGCAGGACTGGGAGTTTGATAAAAACAGACCCAGGAAAACTGATGCTTATGGAACAATTCTACTCCCTAAGGCCATGGTTTATTTAATTTTAAGACATCTACATGAGGAGACATATTATAGGAGAGATGCTCTTGCTTACCTAGTGTGGCCCTACTCTGAAGCCCACACACTTCCAGAAAATGATTCATAAAATAACACAAGGATGTGTTTTATGTGCTGAGAATATTTCCAAGACTGAATGAAGTCCCCCCAACAGAGGATACAATACAAATGGATATGCTCTTTTGAGGAATGGCAGGTAGACTTCATTCAAATGCCCATGGCCAGTGGAAATTGCAGATTTCTTTTGGTATTTGTAGACACATTTTTTTGGATGTGTCGAGGCATACCCCACAAAATCTCAAGGGCTACAGATGTAGCCAAAGCATTGTTGAAGGAAATAATCCCGATTTGGACTCCCATGCACTATACAGAGCTACAAGTTCTTCCATTATTTCAGAAGTTACCCAGAAGATAAGTCAAGCATTATAGATTAAATGGAAATTGCATTCATCATGGAGACCACAATAGATGGGAAAAACAGAGAAGATGAACCACACCTTAAAGAAGACAATAGCCAAACTCTGCCAGAAGACTGATCCAAGCTGGGATGAAGTTTTGCCTATTGCTTTGCTCTGATCAGGGTAGCACCCCAAAGCGGGCTTGGATGAAATCCTTTTGAAATTATATATGGGAAACTCTTCTAGATCTCCTTGCCAGGGATTCTGCCTTTGGATTTCTTAAGTGAGTCTAGAATTAGGCAACACATGCAGCAATAGTGACAAACATTACTGACTATGCATCAGCTTCCTCTCTCCACGTCTGCCTACCCTACAGATGAGCCCCTTCCAGGAGACAAGGTGCCACTAAAGTCGTGAAAAAAATGTCTGGATCAAAAACTGGCTGAAAAGTGGACTGGACCCCATGATGCGCTGCTGACCACTCATTGATCAGTCAAGCTGTCATCCAGTCATCAGTCTGGAGTAAGACTATGGGTCCATAAATCTCAAACAAAGGCAGCCCCACCCTGGCCTGACCACGCAGAGGAGCCTGCTTGGACATGTAAACCAAAAGAGGAGTTAAAACTACTACTTAAGAAAAACTCTGTAGAGAAGTAACATTTTTTGGGTAATTTCCTATAGAATGAAAACCTTGTTAGTGCCTTCAATTTTAAATTTATTATTACTGTCTACTGCTGCCACCACTAACCTTTTCCTGCAATGGGCACAACAGTATGCAGATGGTTGACAGCAGGACTCCTGCTGAATCTGTGGCCTATTGCCTTTCTCTAGCAGCCTGGGCCTGTCTTGGTAAGTATCACCTATACAGAGAAGTGACTGGCCACACTTGCAAGCCTTCATAGAAGACCTTAAGGAGTAGGTTAGGGGCACAGATGTCAGGTGTTACCAGAAAAGACATAACCCATGGCCCATAATAAGACTCTCAATGAATCTGGACATGGAAAGCCTTTTTCATGGAAATGTAATATAGGAAAGGGGAATAGCATTGCTCACCCTTCTACTGGACAAAGAAATGATAATCTAAGACATAAAGCCCCAGTACTCTCACTCTAAGAATGAGTTTCTTCAAATCTAGAATGGCTTTTTATGGCTGACAGCATCAATGGTACACTTAAGTCCCCTTTTTCTGGGGGCAGTGGAATCATACCCTAGACTGGAGTCAAATAGTGCTGGAGGCATGGGTTGGATTCCCTCAGAACAATGTCAACCTACCATAGTTGTATAGAAAAGGGACTTGTTTGCAATAAATTGGTCCCAATGACCCAGCCTTAACTGATATGTTCCTAATGGAACTCATTGGTTATGTGCTACAAACCTCTTGTGCTGGCTACCATGATGATGGCTAGGATGCTGTACTCTGGGCCTCTCCTGGGCTCAGGGACACTGGGAAAAGACTGTAGAAAAGCCTGCCAACCCATGGGCAAAGATTTCATGATGAAAATGTTAAAAGCAATTGCAACAAAAGCAAAAATTGACAAATGGGATCTAATTAAACTAAAGAGCTCTGCACAGCAAAAGAAACTATCATCAGAGTGAATAGACAACCTACAAATGAATGGGAGAAAATTTTTGCTATCTATCTGACAAATGTCTAATAGTCAGCATCTACAAGGAGCTTAAACAAATTTACAAGAAAAAAAAACAACGCCATCAAAAAGCGGGCAAAGGATATGAACAGACACTTCTCAAAAGAAGACATTCATGTGGCCAAAGAAACATGAAAAAAAGCTCAACATCACTGATCAGTAGAGAAATGCAAATCAAAACCACAATGAGATACCATCTCATGCCAGTCAGAATGGAGATTATTAAAAAGTCAAGAAACAACAGATACCAGCAAAGCTGTGGAGAGATAGGAATGCTTTTACACTGTTGGTGAGAATGTAAATTAATTAGTTCAACCATTGTGGAAGGCAGTGTGGCAATTCCTCAAAGACCTAGAACCAGAAATACCATTTGATCCAGCAATCCCATTACCAGAGGAATATATACCCAGAGGAATATAAAACATTCTATTATAAATATACATGCAGGTGTATGTTCATTGTAGCACTATTCACAATAGCAAAGACATGGAATCAACCCAAATGCCCATCAATGATAGACTGGATAAAGAAAATGTGGTACATATACACCATGGAATACTATACAGCCATAAAAAGGAATGAGATCATGTCCTTTACAGGGCCATGGATGGAGCTGGAAGCCAATATCCTCAACAAACTAATTCAGGAACAGAAAACCAAACACTGCATGTTCTCACTTATAAGTGGGAGCTGAACAATGAGAACACATGGACACAGCAGGGGGAACAACACATACTGGGGCCTGTTGGGGGGTCAGGGGGTGGGAGAGCATCAGGATAAATAGCTAATGCCTATGGAGCTTAATACCTAGGTGATGGGTTGATAGGTGCAGAAAACCACTATGACACATATTTACCTATGTAACAAACCTGCATGTCCTGCACATGTATCCTGGAACTTAAAATAAAATAAAATAAAAACACACCTATAAATCAAAAACACAACAAAAAAGTGTCTAGGTAACAAGTAACATAATGAGTGAAACAGTACCTCAGATCTCAATATTAACGTTGAATGTAAATGGCCTAAATGCTCCATTTAAAAGATACAGAATGGTAGAGTGGATAAAAAAAAATCACAAACCAAATATCTGCCGTCTTCAAGAGACTCTCCTAACATGTAAGGATGCACATAAACTCAAGGTAAAGGGATGGGAAAGAATATTGCACACTAATGGAAACCAAAAG